>NC_000005.10:23338123-23641154 GCF_000001405.40 Homo sapiens
CCTGTACAGGACTGCAACATGAACAAGAAATAAAATTTCTCTGTGAACCCACCAAGAATATTTACTTGGTAAACCCACTAGGATTTGGGAGTTTCTTTATTATAGTGCCAAGATTAGGTATTATAGTACCTAATCAATTACACAGTGTTTAGATACAATATAGTTATTTAAATGTCAATACTGGATGTTCTTATATGACTTTAAAAATATTAAAATCTAATTTTAAAAACATTAAAATTTTATAGAAAAAATATACATAGAAAGAACTGATATTGTAGAAAATGAGACTTAACCTAAATGATGAATAATTAGAATTTGTAGAAAACAGAAACCTATAAAATAAATAAAAAAGATTTAGTAATTCTGCATAAGAGAAGACATAAAACCAAAATAAACTGAATAAATAAAAAGCTAAATAAAAAAATGTGACATTCAGTTAATCTAACATATTACATAATTAACAAATTTTTTTATCAAATGCTGTAAAGTATAAAAATAGGTATAAATATTTGAAAACATACTGTAAACGTTTTCAAATAGTAAAATCACCAATGTGGAATCACAAGGTTGCTACCCCCAAAATAATGAATAAATGAAAAATATCAGTTTGGAAAAAAATGAATAGAGTTGAATAAATTTCCTTAAAGCTATTAATTGTAACACTTGAATATATGATGGGTTGAAAATAAGTTCATTTATAATAGTAATAAAAAACAAAAGTAAGTAGATGTACTGATTATACAGGCTTATAGAGTTAATCTAAGAAGAAACATTTAAGACCTGTATGAGTAAAATAAAACCTGCAAAACCTCTATTGAAGAAAATAAAATAAAATAAAATGGAAGCATATTTCATGTTTGTGTATGGAAAACCTAAAATAAAACAGAAACTCACCCCAATTAATTAATGTTTTAATTAATTTTAACAAAAAACACATTAAGATTTGTTTTTGACTTTTTGATAATAGCCTTTCTGACTGTTGTGAGATGGTATCTCATTGTGGTTTTTTGATTTGCATTTCTCTAATAGTCAGTGATGTTGAGATTTTTTTACATGATTGTTGGCCACATGTATGCATGTATGTCTTCTTTTGAAAAATGTCTGTTTGTGACCTTTGCCCACTTTTTGTTTTGTTTTGTTTTGTTTTGTTTTGTTTTGTTTTAGAGAGATGGATTCTCACTCTATCACCCAGGCTGGAGTGCAGTGGTGCGATCTCCGCTCACTGCAACCTCCGACTCCCCAGTTCAAGCAATTCACCTGCCTCAGCCTTCTGAGCAGCTGGGACTACAGGAGCAGGCTGCCACGACTGGCTAACTTCTTTTGTATTTTAGTAGAGACAGGGTTTCACCATGTTGCCCAGACTGGTCTCCAACTCCTGAGCTCAGGCAATTACAGGTGTGAGCCACAGCGCCTGGCCCCCTCTTTTTAATGGGGTTGTTTTTCTCTTGTAAATTCGTTTAAGTTTCTCATAGATGCTAAATATTAGCCCCTTGTTAGATGCACAGTTTGCAAAAATGTTCTCCCATTCTGTAGGTTGTCTGTTTATTTTGTCGACAATTTCCTTTGCTGTACAGAAGCTCTGTAGTTTAATTAGTTCCCCTTTCTCAACTTTTGCTTTTGTTGCAATTGCTTTTGCCTTCGTCATCATGAAGTCTAAGACTGTTCCCATGTCCAGAATGGTATTGCCTAGAATGGTAATATCTTCCAGGGTTTTTATAGTTTGGGGTTTTACATTTAAGTCTTTAAGTTAATTTTTGTGTATGGAATAAGGAAGGAGCCCAGCTTCAATCTTCTGCATATGGCTAACCAGCTATCCCAGCACCATTTATTGATTAGGGAATCCTTTTCCTGTTGATTGTTTTTGTCGGATTTGTCGAAGATCAGATAGTTGTAGGTGTGTGGTCTTATTTCTGGATTCTCTATTCTGTTCCATCAGTCTATATGTCTGTTTTTGCACCAGAACCATGCTGTTTTGGTTACTATAGCCCTGTAATGTAGTTTAAAGTTGGGTAGCATGATGCCTCCCACTTTATTCTTTCTGTTTAGGATTGTCTTGGCTATTTGGGTTCTTTTTTGGTTCCACATGAATTTTAAAATATTTTTTTCTAGTCAATAGTAGTTTAATAGGAATAGCATTGAATGTATGAATTACTTGGAGCAGTATGGCCATTTTAATGATATTGATTCTTCCTATCAATGAGCATGAGATGTCTTTTCATTTGTTTGTGTCATTTCTTATTTATTTGAGCAGTCAAAAAATAACCAATGCAGATGAGGTTGCAGATAAAAAGGAACGCTTTTATACTGTTGGTGGGAGTGTAAACTAGTTCAACCATTGTGGAAGACAGTGTAGCAATTCTTCTAAGGCCTGAAGACAGAGATACCATTTGACCCAGCAATCTCATTACTAGATATATACTGAAAGGAATATAAATTTTTCTATTATAAAGTCACATGCACAAGTAGGTTCATTGCAGCACTATTCACAATAGAAAGACATGGAATCAACCTAAATGCCCATTAATGGTAGACTGGATAAAGAAAATATGGTACGTATACACCACAGATTACTATGCGGCCATAAAAAAAAAAAACAAGATTATATTCTTTGCAGAAACATGAATGGAGTTGGAGGCTATTATTTTTAGCAACTAACACAGGAAAAGAAAACCAAATACCACATGTTCTCACTTATAAGTGGGATCTAAATGATGAAAACACATGGACACATAGAGCGGAACAACACACACCTGGCCCTGTTGGAGGGTGGAGGCTGAGATAAGAGAGAGGATCATGAAAAATAACTAATAAGTACTAGGCTTAATACCTGGGTGACAAAATAATCTGTACAACAAACCCCCATGACACAACAAGTTGACCTATTAACAAAACCTGCACATGTACCCCAAAATTAAAATAGAAGTTAAATTTAAAAAAAAAGATTTTGAACTTGTCAAGCAAATAAACCTCTCTTGGAATAAATATGTTGTTATAAACAGACCAGGAATCTTCAAAAAAAAATATGAAAAAAAGGTTTGCATTAGAAATAACAGAAAATATTGTAAATCACAAATTTAAATCATCAGGAAACTCACATGGGTGTAGCAGAGACTAAAACCAGAAAGAAATGTATCTTAAAATCAATGGGAAAAAAATACTTAAAAAATACATGGCCGGGCACAGTGGCTCACGCCTGTAATCCCAGCACTCTGGGAGGCCGAGGCAGGTAGATCACCTGAGGTCAGGAGTTCCAGACTAGCCTTGCCAACATGGGGAAACCCCGTCTCTACTAAAAATACAAAAATTAGCTGGGCGTGGTGGCATGTGCCTCTAGTCCCAGCTACTCGGGAGGCTGAGGAGGAGAATCGCTTGAACCCGGGAGGCGGAGATTGTGATTAGCTGAGATGCTGAGATGGTGCCACTGCACTCCAGCCTGGGCGACAGAGAGAGACTCCATCTCAAAAAAACAACAACAACAAAACAAAACATATACTGTTTTGGTAATCCTTTAAGTGCAAATAATAAAATTGTAATTACCTTACACATAAACCACCATTAATTCCAGTTGAATAAAATTATAAAACACCCTGTTTTCATAATTTTTTCAGCCACAAAACTACCAACAATCTCTAAGAATAAATGGGTGATTCTTCTTTATATTTAATATTAAATATAAAGAAGAATCACCCATTTATTCTTAGAGTAGACTTTTAAACATTCGAATTTTAAAAGTAAGGGTAAATAATGCACTATAATGACAAAAGTAATCAATTTCTTAAGGTTTATGGAAAATTTAATAAAATGTCTTTCTTTCAAGTACCAGCCATTATTACTGCTCCTCAAATCCAAGCCCCACCACCATTCCCACGGTTCCAGAAGACAACATTGAGTTTCTTACACTATCACTTATATATCTTCTAAAAACATCGAGAATCATTGACAAAGGCCAGAATTAAAGTCAATGTGAGGTCGATAATATTTAGCTTAGCATACAAAACAAAATAGATCACAAGAGGAAAGGTCAAAACATTTGACAACAAAAATTAGAGACAAAAGTGATTGTTGAATTACTAGGGCAAAATAAAAAAGCAAATAATAAACCAGAGGAAAAGTTCAACAAAATTCAATAAGCAAAAAATAGATATAAAAAAATAGAAAATTATTTTAAAAGAAAAAATGTATTGGTAATTATTTCTGAAAAAGAGAAATATTAATAAAACTCGTATGCAAGGAAAAACAGCACATTCATATAATTCATATATTGCCTCTAACAAATTGGTAAAACAACTTAATGTCAACACTAATATTACCATATATGTAAAAAACAGTCATTCTTCTTAGAGAAAAACAGTGAAAATGTACAGAGAATTGTATGAAAAGATATAATTTTTTAAGATTAAGATTATAATATCAACTGGATGACCAATGCCATTCATTATGAAGAAAATTATGAGAAATATACAGAGTCGATTAAGTGGTTCCATCAAAATGAAATTTAAGTTTAAATTAGCCAATATAACCCACAATTAGTGATTAGGTAAATATAAAGTATGAGACTCTACAAAGGTGCATCCTGCACTAGGAATTAATATTTAAGAAAGTGAATAATATGTGGACAATTCTAAGTATAAAGTTATAAAAGTAGTAAATACTATATGTTGCCATATAGTATAAATATATAATACTATATAATAATATATAATTAATAATAAATATATAACACTACATAGATACATGCATAGATAGAAATAAAGTAGGATTTGAAAATGATGAGAGAATAATTGACAATCTACTCAGACATACATACCCTAATGTATATCACATCTAAAAATTAGGGTGATTATTTTGTTTAGCATTCATTTTGAGGATTTTTCCAGTGGAAATAAACATTTTAAAAATGATTTTTCCAATTGCCATTACATATAAAATCAAAAGTCAAAAGCAAAATACTTGAATTAGTTAAATCTTAATGGTATGAGAAAAGCTACAGCATGTTCTAGCCTTACAATAAAATAACTATAAACTTAGAACACATTCAAACTAATGTTATAAAATACTTTTAATAAGACGAATGTTCAATATATCGTTATATTATAAAATGAGGATTGTGAATTGTATGTGTAATTTATAATAGCAGTTACATAAAATATACACAAAAGGTTGGAATGACATATATTAAAATGGTAATGGTAATTTCCCTTAATCAGCAGAATTTAAGGTGCTTTAAAATAACAAATGTTTTATTAAATTAATTTTGGTTTGTCAAAATTATAAAAGAGGACCAATGGAGTTTTAAAAAAGAAAACCAAACTAAAATTTAACAAAAACATAATTAAGTATTCAGAAGCCATCCATTTTTCATCAGGCTACAAGATTTCATATGAAATATTTAAAAGTGTTGCCCTACAAAATGTCTCTAAGGCAGAAAGAAATCATAGATGAAATCTTTTATAGGTAGAATCCATCCATCTAAAATTTATAGTAGGAAATCGTGTTTCATGTCTTTTGTCTATATAAAATTCCTTTTTTGACATTAATGGAGGTGGGAGATGATAAATTATTTTTTCTTCACAATATTATTATTTAGTTCATCAAATGAGAGATTTTTTGAAAGGAAATATAACTCAAATGATACTAATTTGGACGTTAATGGACACATAGATGACATAGTTCTATCTTGATCAAAAAGTGTGTGTTTTAAAGCATTATTACTTTATTAGCGATATGCTGAATATCAGTTGCAGATTGCTGTTGAATTTATTACATTATCCCAATATCTTGCAATGTATTTCTTACATGCTAACCAAAGCCTTGTCAATTGTAAAGTTGTTAAATACTGTTAAAATTTAAGGAGATGTATCCTACTATTTAATAGCGTACAAATAAATTATCCAACTAAAAAATGTGCAAAGAATTTGAATAGACATTTTTCCAAAGAAGATGTACAAGTGACCAACAGTGATATTAAAAGATGTTCAACCTCAGTAATCATCAGGGAAATGAAAATTAAAAGCAAAAATGAGACATCACTTCACACCTATTACAACGGCCATTATTAGAAAAGCAAAAAAAAAAAAAGATAGCAAGTATTGTGAAGCAGAAATCAGAGTCCTGGTATATTGTTGGTGGGAATGCAAAATGGTATAGCATCTATAAAAACCGGTATAGAGTTTTCCCAAATAATTAAAGGTAGAACTACCATGAAATCTAGCAATCACACTTCTGGTATCTATCTATAATTATTGAAATCAGTATCCTATCATGTCCTTTGCAGAACGTGCATGAGGTTGGAGGCCATTATCCTAAGTGAACTGGAATAACATGCGAATAGAAAATCAAATACCAAATGTTCTCACTTAAAAATGGGAGCTAAACATTGAAAACACATAGACAAAAAGAAGGTAACAACAGACACCGGGACCTACTTGAGGGTGAAGGGTGGGAGAAGAGAAGGGATCAAAAAACTACCTATTAGGTATTATGTTTATTACCTGGGTGATGAAATCATCTGTATGTTAAATCCCATGACATGCAATTTATCTATATAACAAATCTTCACATGTTCCTCTGAACCAAAAATAAAAGTTAAAATTAATAAGGATCTCAAAGAGATATGTGCATTTTTATGGTATTGCAGTCTGATTTGCAAGATAAGGAAACAATTCAAACGTCCATTGATGGATGAATGGATAAAGAAAATATGGTATATTCACATAAAGGAATATTATTCGGCCACAAAAAGAAGGGAATCTTGTCATATGCTATAAAATGTATTAATCTGAGGATATTATGCTAAGTAAAACAACCCAGTCAACCAAGAACAAACACTGCGTGCTTCCACGTGTGTGAGATATCTAAAGTAGGCAAACTCAGGAAAGGAGAAGGTACAATGGTGGTTGTCAGGGCTGAGGGAAGGGGAAAATGGATAATGGCTGTTCAATGGTGCAAAGTTTCAGTCATGCAGGTTGAAAAATTCTAAAGTTGGCTGAAGGACATTGTGCTTAAACAATATTGTGTTGCACACTTAAAATTCTAAGAGGATAAATCTTATATGATTTTTAGCACAACAAAAAAAGAAACATTTTTAAAAAGTTAAGTAGACTTCAGGTATCATTTAGAAAAACATCTCTCTTTTGGCTGTTAACCCAGCTTTATTCAGCAGAGTTTAGCTAGTTTTAGTCTCCAATCCAGTTAATCATGGTTCATGTGAATTTATTTCAGTTGAATTCCTTGGAATCACCTTCACATTTTTATATTCACTACAAAATAGATCTTCAGTTGTTGGCAGGTTTCCTCAACTCCTGCCGTATTAAAATTGTGGGGTTTTTTTTGGTTGATATTTCTGTTAAATGTTGTTCAGGCCTAAAAGCATTTCTCATTATTTTCTTTGCCATTCAATTGAGATTTTCATATAGCTTCACTGAACTTGAGATAAAGTCTAGCATTTGTTTTGCTGTACCAATACACAATGTTTTTATCTCTTTTCTGGTTGGTGATTTATTTAAATTGTTATTCTATACAGAAGCATACAACTTATTTGTCTAAATAGTCTATTGCTTTCCACATGGATTAATTAACATCATAGTTACAGGTTTTTTTAAAAAATTCATATTTGGGCATTTTTATTAAGTTTCAACATGATAATATTATTTATAAAGAGCACATTTACTCAATTAGTATGTATAATGAGTTTATTTAAGGAATTGACATTTTTGCTGAACTGAGAAGTAGATCACAAAGCAAACAAAACAAAATAAAAAGCAATGAACCAGTGAATAAAGGCCATGAATATTGTGTAAATATTTATGTTCATTTTTTATCTTAACATCATAATCTCAAATCACTTCAGAGACAATCCTATTTCTAAAGAACAATAATAGTATATTGCCTATTGAAATAAAATGGGGACATGGTTTAATCAATTTTATATTAAAGTAAAATTTCATAATGAATTTAAGAGAGATTTTTAGAAAATATTTTTTAGTTTTCATAGTACTCAAACCAGGGCATCAATGTGTAACATGTCCCCAAACACAACACTACAAATATTCTATTTTATGTTTGCAAGATTTTAGAACAACAGAAAAAGTCATTCTACTTCGCATATTCTTAATTGTTTAAATAATCTACATTATTGAAGTATAGCTTCCCTATTTTTAAAAAAACATTTTAGGCATATACTTTGATACATTATAAAAATATATAATCAAAGCAGTTCAACCATAATAATAATAAAATATTTCTATAATTCACTGTAATTGTTTTTACGCTACTCTAAAGAACTGCTTGTGACTGGGTAATTTATAAAGAAAAGAGGATTAATTGACTCACAGTTTAGGATGGCTGGGGAGGCGTCAGGAAACCTATAATCATGGCGGAAGTTGGAGGGGAATCAAGACCTTCTTTACATGGTAGCAGGAGAAAGAAGAGTGAGGAGCCAAGTGTGAAGAGCCCTAGAAAATATAAAATCACCAGATCTCTTGAGAACTCGCTCACTATCACAAGAACAGCATGGGAGAAACTTCCCTCATGATCCAATCACCTCCCACCAGGGTCTCTTGCTAGACACATGGGGATCATGGGGATTACAACACAAAATGAGATTTGGGTGGGGACACAACCAAATCAGATTACTTACTAAAGTTTTCTTTGTAGTTATCCTCATCCCATCACTCCACAATCTCATTCTTCAGCCTCAAAAAACCACAGCTGGTTTCTATGATTAAGGATTAGTTTTGACTATTTTAAGATTTCATATAAATAAAATATTAACATTTATACTATTTTGTTTCTGTCTTCTGTAACTCAGCATGCTGTTCATAAAATTCATCTTTGCTACCGTATGTGATATCAGCAGTTCCTTACCTTATATTACCAAGTCATATTTCTATGTATATATCACAATATTAATTTATTTGCTTTTGATGGGTGTCTGTATTGTTTCTAGGTCTGTACCTTAAAAAAATTGCTATGAACATTTGTGTGCAAGCCATTCTCTTGTTTAAATACCTAGAGTTGAAATTACTCCTTTATATAGGAAGTGTGTTCTTAATTTTATATGAAACTTCCAAAATATTTTACTCCCTAACCAGCAATGACAATAAATTATTTCCCATCCCACCAGTATGTGGCGTGTCTTTAATTTTAGCCATTCTCATTTTGTGTGGTGGTATTTTGTTGTGGCTTAATTTGCATTTCCCTGATGACTATGAATGTTTGTTTCTTTTCATTTGGTTATGTAATATTCATTTAACTTCTTTTGGATAGTGTGTATTAAAATCTTTGACCTTTTTTTGTTGGGTTGTTAACTTTCATAAAGTTAAAGATATCTTATAAAGTGTGTAAACAAGTCCTTTGTCTAATAAAGCATGCAACCATTTTTCTCTCCTTGTGAGGCGTACTTTTCATCTTTAAAATGTATCTTAAAGGATATAAGTAATATGATTCAATAAAATGTATCTGTTTTGTGTGTGCTTAATACTTTTTTGTCATTTCTAGAAAATTCTTGCCTCCATCAAGGTCAAAACTAATTTTTTTCTACCGTTTCATTTTCGCAGTGATCTTTCCTATGTTTTCCGTGTTTCTGCCTATCTTTCATATATTTCAACTTTAAAATATCTGTCTGTGGTATATTTTTGTATTAATTGAATATTGTGTTAGTTGGGTTTTAAATACTGTTGTTAATTCTTCCCCAAAGATTGTATCCAATTGTCCTACCCTTAGTTGTTCAAAGACTACCCCGTCTACATTGAAATTATTTGGTAACTTTGTCAAAAAGCTATTAAACTAGTACATGTAAGATGTCTGTTCTTGCTTCTGTTTTTCACACCATTGTTCTTTATTTCTATTCTTACACAAAAACCACAGTCTAGATACATGGTAATAAGTCTTAAAATCAGGTAGTGTAAGTTCTCCAAATTTCTTCTCTTTCAAGATTGTTTAGACATTCCATATTCTTTATATTTAACTTTAAGCTATAAAATCAGCTTGTTCATTTCTACAACTTAAAAAAAAATTTCACTGAGGTTTGCTTCGCTCGAGACTCAGTCATAACCCATGTGATGTTCTGTCAAGACTTCTTTATAGATGGCATTTTTTTCTTTCATCAAAAGTCATATAATGTTTACTATATATCTTCTTCTTGTATGAGCTGATGTTCAATACACTAATTTATTAGTTTATCACAAATTTTCTTATAATTACATTATTTTTCCTTCTTTTAGGATAAAAGAATACTTATAAAAAGATACATTTTACCTTGTAGACCTGTGGTTATTTTAGGGTTTAGTTCATTAATAAAGGCAAGATAAATGCTTGGTACTGTTCCTTTGCTTCCTGACAACACATCATATTTGAAAACTTATGTCTTAAATACTGTTATGAACTTATGGATTTAGTATGGTTGATGTATTTGGCTGTGCTTCATTCAGTGTCTTCTTGGATACAAATTTTCCATCTTTTGCCAGTGAATACTGCTTCAAATTGTCTCCTGAGTCTTCTTAATAAGATCCTTACTAGCTATTTTACTCCTGTGCTAATTGGTTATCAAAATGGTCCATCTTGTCCATGCTCTGCCTCAAACAAGGAATAAATTTGTTTCTATGGAGATCTCTGTTATCATATTTGCTTTTTAGTGAAATATGTTATTTCAGGACCACTGTCTGGACACTAGCAGTAATTTTTCACACAGGATGCTTCAAAGAAGAGGTTTCTTTCACTATTTCTAAGCCTTTCCATTGGCAGTTATAGGAAACATATTATATAAAAGAGATTTATGATTCCATTCTGAGAGTTCCAAATGGAATTCAGGCTTACAAACTTTATCCTATCTTGTATCTCTATTTCTTCTTTCACCACATCTAGAACCTTGTTTCTTAAAGGCATAAGGTATTATTTGATTAGAATATTGTATTATTACTAATTTTCAGTATCCCACAGTAAACACAAGTACTATTCGATGAACAATGCCAACACTACTAAAAACATGCTACACTGATGGTTTTGTTTGTTTGTTTCTTTATAGAAATCTTACCTTTCTTCTAGGTTGAGTATGGTACCGCTACTTCTGAGATTTTAGGAAAGTTCAGTTTGAAGGGAAAGCACCCAAGAGGCCATATTATCCTTGTCCCTGATGAGTTTAGTCATCCAGATTCATCTGTAAATGAAATTACCATTTTAGGTCAGACTCCTTTGTCAGTTCCTCAAAGCAGAAGGGAGAGTGATATAATCTGTAACTACAAACCCTCCCAAACAATAACTAGGAAGCTAAAATATATTAAAATATAACATTGAGGCTGAAAACCAAATATTGAGAGCTAGGTGGTATTTTTTGCCTTCTTTATATATTTGTATTTTTAATTTGCTTTATTCTTATAAACTATCTTTAAATATAATTCTTCAAATTTCCTAAAGGAGAAGAAAACAAACTGCTGTGCTATTTCCATGGTACACTGAGGATTATGTTTGCAGGGTCTTTGTCCTGTGCCCTCCCATCTATGCATCACAAATAAGCATGCATGCATTGGTGCCCATATGTTTACTTGGCTCAGCACTCTCCCATTTATACTTTATGTACAATCTCTCCCAACTCTCAGCTTTTATGTACTATACTTTCATGCCTGAAAATGCTCTTCCCAGTTCTTTCTTGAGTTAGCTTCTGAGCAGCCACCAGGACTCAGCTCTATGCCACATTTTCCAAGATGGTTACAGGTCTCTGTAACCGCATTTCATCCCATAAAACTCTGAATATTCATCTGTCAAAATATTTATTTTACTCTAGGAAAATCACCAGTTTACTTCTCTATACCTAGGATAACAGCCTATATCTCTTGAAGACAAGATAATATCTAATTTTTGCTATATCTTAATTGCCTGGAGCATAATAAGTTTTCACAAACCAGTCTGAATTCAATGAATTATGGAAAGATATTCTTAAATAAGCAGCTAATATTAAGCAGTGAACTTTATGTTGCCAGTACTTTTAACTTCATTTGCCCAATTTCATCTCTTTGTTTCAAACCGTACCATCTCATCCCCCTTCATGGAGTAAGAAATCCTTGTATGATGTAAAATTCCATTAAATTCATACCAATCATTTTTTTCCTGAGGGCTGTTCCCATTCACCTTTTCTTATTTGGTCTTTAAAACTAACCAGTCATATATACAGTTTATACTAAATCCTAAAATTAGTAACCAAAAATGCATTCCTCTGATAACTAAGAATTTATCTAAGCACAACATACCTATAATTTTATGGGAATTTAGTATATTATAGAATACATGACTTGGCATGCACCTATATTCTGAGTTTATACCATACACTTATCCTGAGTGCTAGATATTGTAAAAAATAAAAATAATTGGTATTCATTGTAAAAAATCATATTTTCTATATAAATGCTAATATACCCATCACAACACTTTGTAAGTGAAAATCCAATGTAACAATTGTATGTGTCTTCAGTATGAATACAGGGAAGTATTATTTTCTGGACAAAATCCAGACTGAGCAAAACAAATTACACTTTTTCACATGTTATTCACCAAATGTGATCTTTAAAAACTTTTTCCAGTAAGAAATTTTCCATCAGAATGCATTAAAAAATATATATCCCTAGGTGCATAGCCAATAGAAAGACCTATACTAGGTAAAACATACATGCATTTTAACGAGAGTACATTAGACTAACTTGGGCATTTTTCTGTGTCATTTAATTCAATCATCAAAGGACATCCTTGTAACTCACTGAAAAACTTAGGTAGAGATTAACATTTTCACCTTTTTGAATGAATATCTGTGTGACATGAATCACATACTATGTTAGGAGATTGAAGGAGAATAAAGTGATGCTGTTGAAATACTTTACACATCTAATGACAAGTCAATCTTATTTGCGCTCATTAGATTAGTATACTGTGCATCTTATAATGGAAAGAATAATAAAAATTATCCCAAATTGAGCTTCTCATTGTTCATGCCAATAACAAAGTTTAATCTCTTTTCATGTTCTAGGAAATTAGGCTTATAATCTTTCCCTTATAATTCTCTGATGTTATGGGACAGTGGTGTCCAGTAGAAAGAAACTTTAAGAACACTTATTTCTATTTTTTATTCCATCATTTTAGATAATATTTAGGGTGATTTAAAATTCACAACATTGATTGATTTATTACCCCGCCTTCATAGGAACAATAGTCATACTTGGAGATGTTTTTACCTTGCAGATTTCTGAATAAAACAAAGAGACTTAACAGTTAGCCCTCTGTATCTGTGGATTCACCAACCACAAATAGAAAATATTGTGTTCACCAAAATAAAAACAAAAATAAAATACAAAAATTAAAAATAATACACATACAAAAAATTGTATAATAACTATGTAGCATTTACATTGTATTCGGTATTATAAACAACGTAGAGATGATTTAAAGTATATGGAGGGATGTGTTTAGAGTATATGAAAACAGTGCATCATTTTTCATGTGAGATTTGAACATCTACAGATTTTGGTTTCTGTAGGCATCCTAGAACCGTACCTCCATGGATACCGAGTGAAAACTGTAGTTCAAGGCACTTTGAATAATATGTTTTAAACATGAGTATATTATTAAACATAAGAAATACGAATAAAAATTCATCTTAAATATAAGAAATATTATTTAAAAATATTATAGCATTCAAGAGGCTTCTAATAATAGTAAATTTCAATGCTGTTTTTACGCTCTGCCATGATATGCCTAGACGAGAATATCTCCTTAAGAATCAAGGCCGGATCAAGAACTTTTTTAAAAACAGCCTCGATTTTAACTTATAACCATGATGTTATTTCAGTAAGAAGCTAAAATGTGCGCTTATTTACTATTACGGAAAAGAGGTCACGATCCAGACCTGCAGATAAGGTTCCTGGGTTTCCTGAAAGAAAGAATTCTAGGCAATTCCATAGAGTACCTTGAGAGTAAGTTTCTTAAGAAATGGAGGAATGAGGCCGGGCGCGGTGGCTCACGCCTGTAATCCCAGCACTTTGGGAGGCCGAGGCGGGTGGATCACGAGGTCAGGAGATTGAGACCATCCTGGCTAACACGGTGAAACCCTGTCTCTATTAAAAATACAAAAAATAAGCCGGGCGAGGTGGCGGGCGCCTGTAGTCCCAGCTACTTGGAAGGCTGAGGCAGGAGAATGGCGTGAACCCGGGAGGCCGAGCTTGCAGTGAGCCGAGATCGCGCCACTGCACTCCGGCCTGGGGAACACAGCGAGCCTCCTTCTCAAATACAAAAAAAAAAAAAGAAATGGAGGAATGAAAGAATGGCTTCTTCATAGATAGAGCAGCCCCGAGGGCTGCTGGTTGCCCATTTTTATGGTTATTTCTTGCTTATACGTTAAACAAGGGGTGAATTATTCATGCCTCCCCTTTTTAGATCACGTAGGGTAACTTACTGACATTTGTAAACTGTAAACTCACTGGCGGGAGTGCAGCAGTGAGGACACCAGAGGTCACTCTCGTCACCATGTTGGTTTTGGTGGGTTTTAGCTGTCTTCTTTACTGCAAGCTGTTACATCAGCAAGGTCTTTATGATCTGTATCTTGTGCCGACTTCCTATCTCATTCTGTGACTAAGAACGCCTTAACTTACTGGAAACGCAGCTCAGTAGGTTTCAGGCTCATTTTACTCAGCCTCTATTCAAGAGGGAGTTGTTCTGGTTCAAAAGCTTCTGACAATACCCCTGAGAATTTTGTGTCTGTTGTTATTTTAATATGACCTAATTTAAACAGAATGATATAAAAATGATTATATATTTCCATAAAATAAACAAATCTACATTATCATTTCTGTAAGTTAACTTTGTTTGTTTGTTTGTTTGTTTGTTTTTGAGATGGAGTCTCCCTCTGTCGCCCAGGCTGGGATGCAGTGGGTCTATCTCAGCTCACTGCAACCTCGGTCTCCCAGGTTCAAGCAGTTCTCCTTCCTCAGCCTCCTGAGTAACTGGAACTACAGGTTGTGGGGACATGCCCATCTAATTTTTGTATTTTCAGTAGAGATGGTGTTTTGCCATGTTGGCCAGGCTTGTGTAGAACTCCTGACCTCAAGTGATACGCCTGCCTTGGCCTCCCAAAGTGCTGGGATTACAGGCATGAGCCAGGTTAACTCTCATATGTGCAGCATATGGATAAAATAGTAAAGATTTTTTATATTATTTCATATCTATTTAGAATTTAGTGGAGCATTTTAACTGGCAATTATGACAGAATCATTTTTAGATTTTTCAGCAATCACTCTGCTTTGCCAAAATGAGTGGGAGAGGACAAAAGTGTAAGTAATAAAATCTGTTGAGAAATCAATCCCTTGGGTTATGAACAGGGCTTGGCTCTGTTGATGGTAGAGTGCGTATGAGAGAAATGAACAACGTAGAAGTATATTTTAGAAATAGAATGGAAAAGAATTGCTGTTGCATTATGTAAGTTTCCTTCTGTCAATTTTTTTCTAAAATAGAGTTCTCATATCTAAAGATTGAACGCCCTGACAGTGTATATATAGTTTTGCTTCATTTCATATTCTTGAACTGATATTCACTGCAAACAGAAATTCGACGTCAGAATGTATTTTTTGAATGAAACAAGATTATATCTATTCGTGTGGAATACTGGTTAATACTAATATGTATATGGGTTCCTAAGACTTTGACTCATGTTGCTTAATATGTCATCTCTTACTAGCATAATTCCTGCCAGCCATTACTTAAACAGTGATGGACGTCTTAGTTAACTTGAGTTTCCAAGACCTGTCTTCACAATTGAGTTTGTCCACCTTCTGTGCAAATTTTTCTAGCCAGAATTTTGCGTTGTTTTAATTAGCAAAACATAAGTACTTTGGGGACAGGGGCAGCAAAATTAGAGGACAACAATTATTTCGAGATGCTTGAATGCTTATTAATATGCAAAATTTTTGTTGTAAGACTGAAAATGATTTAGAACATATATTCTTGAAATTATTGGAGTTTATGTGTTCCATTTCTTATTGAAGGTAGTTAATAGATTGAAACTTTCAGACATGATGTTTTACATCTCATGAAAGAGTTGATATGGCATTGTCTCCAAACCAAATGCTGATTTCAATAGACATGAACTTCTTAAATACATCTCTTAAAACATCAAAGGCAAACTGAAGTGGTGTGTATTCAACGTTTCAGGTTCAAATTGGCCCTTATTGATACATTTAATTTTTTCATGTATTTTGCTAACAGTTTGTGTTTGCTGTTTTTAGCACCATATTTTCTTAAATAGAATCACTTTGCTATTGTAGCATTATTTTATCACTAAAATATTTAAATCACTGGACATATTGTTTTAATAATTATTGCAATGGCATTCCTTTCAAAAAAGAAGGAAGGTTTAAAATTATCTGATTGACAAATAATTTTCCATGATACATTTTCCCCAGTTAGGAGCAGAAATGAAATCCCTCTTAATCAAAAAGATGTTTTTCCCAAATGGCTGAATTGTTTTTCTAAATATTTTAATAGATGCATGAAAATACAGGCATACCTCACTTTATTGGGCTTCATTTTATTCTACTTTGCAAATATCGTGGTTTTTTACAAGGTGACTATTTGTGGCAACCCTGCACCAAGCAAATCTATCTATGTCAGTTTTCTAACAGTATGTTTGGCATGTGTCTTTGTGTGACATTTGGTAATTCTAGCTATATTTCCATTTTTTATTATTTACTTTATCTGTTATGGTGATCTGTGATAAGTGATCTTTGATATAATCATTGCACTGTTTTGGGGTCCATGGACTATACTCATATCAGATGACAAACAATTGGTAAATGTTGTGTGTTCTTACTGCTTCATCCACCAGTCCTTCCTACATCTCACTTACTTTCCTTGGGCCTCCTTTTTCCCTGAGATATGACAAAATTAAAATTAGTCCAGTTAATAAGTCTGCAATGGTCTCTAGATGCTCAAGCAAAAGAAACACTTTTCATGCCTCTTACTTTAAATAAAAATTTAGAAATGTTTAAGCTTACTGAGGAGGGCCTGTAGAAAGAGGAGATAGGCTGAAAGCTTAGCTGTGAATGCAAAAAAAATAAAGTTCTTGAAGAAATGGAAAAGTGCTACTCCAGTGAACACATGAATAATAAGAAAATGAAAGTGTTATTTTGGATATGAAAAAAGTTTGAGTGGTCTGGAAAGATTAAATCAGCCACAATACTCCCTTAAAGTAAAGCCTAATCCAGAGCAAGTTCCTAACTTACCTCAATTCTATGAAGGCTGAGAGAGGTAAGAAAGCCACAGGAGTAAAGAAAGCTAGCAGAACTTGGTTCATGAGGTTTAAGGAAAGAAGCCGTCTCCATAACATAAAAATGGAAGGTGAAGCAGCAAGCACTGTTATAGAAGCTGGAGAGAGTTATCCAGAAGATACAGGTAGGATAACTGATAAAGGTGGCTGCACTAAACAACAGATTTCCAATATAGATAAAATAGTCTTATGTCGAAAGAAGATACCATCCAGGACTTCTATAACTAGAGAGAAAAAGTCAATAGAGGATGATGCAGCTGGTGACTTTAAGTTGAAGGCAATGGTCATTTACTATTCCAAAAATTGTAAGACCCTTAAGATTGATGTTAAATCCACTCTTCTTGTGCTCTACAAATTGAACACTAAAGCCTGGAGAAAATCACGTCTCTTTACAGCATGGTTTACTGACTATTTTAAGCCCACTATTGAGACTTACTGCTCAGAAAAGAAGATTCCTTTAAGGTACTGCTGCTCACCAACAATGCATCTAGTCACCCAAGAGCTCTGATGAAGATGTACAAAGAGATTTATGTTGTTTTCATGCCTGCTAAGACAAAATCCATTCTGCAGTCCATAGATAAAGGATTAATTTCAAGTTTTACATCTTATTATTTAAGAAATACGTTTCAAAATGTTATAGCTCCCCCAGAAAGTGATAGTTCTGATTAATCTGGGCAAAGTAAATTAAAAACCTTCTGAAAAGAATTCACGATTCAGGATGCCATTTAGAGCATTCATTCTTCATGGGAGAATATAAAAATATCAGAAGTAGTAGTAGTGAGGAAGAAGTTGCTTCTAACCCTCATGGCTAACTTTGAGAGGTTTGAAACTTTAATGGAGGAAGCAACTGCAGAAATGGTGGAAACAGCAAGAGAACTAGAATTAGAAGTGGAGCCTGAAGATGGAACTGAATTCCTGCAATCTCATGGTAAAACCTTAATAGATGTGGACTTGCTTCTTATAAATGAAAAAAAAAATAGAGTGGTTTCTTGAGATGGAAATTACTGCTGGTGAATTTCTTGTAAGCACTTTTGAAACAACAACAAAAGATTAAGAATATTGTATAAACTTAGTTAATAAAGCAGCAATAGGATTTGACAGAATTGACTTCAATTTTGGAAGAAGTTCCACTGTGGGTAAAATACCAAAGATCACTGCATGCCACAGAGCAATCATTTGTGAAAGGAAGAGTTAATCAATGCAACAAGCTTCACTGTTGCCTTAATTTAAGTTGTCACAGCTATCCCATCCTTCATTTTTGCCATCCTGATAAGTCAGCAGCCATCAATGTCAAGGCAAGACCCTCCACTGCAAAAAGAAGTGAAGACTCAAATAATTGTTAGCATTTTTAATCAATATTTTTAGTTCAGGTACGTACATTGCCTTTTTAGACATAATGCTATTGCACACTTTCTAGATTACAGTAGCACAAGGAGACTAAATGTTCTTTGTGACTCACTTCACTGACACATTTACTTTATTGTAGTAGTCTGGAACCAAACCCCCTATATCTCCAAGGTATGCTTGTATGCAGGATGAGGAGAAAAGTGAAGGTCATCCTGAAAATTCTAAGGGTCCTTTTTGCCCTGATTTGTATTCTTCTCACTATAAATGCATATTAAAATAAATTATTTCATGTTCTTTTCATTTTCCTCCTCTTTCTTCTTCCTTTTCTATGTTAATGTTATTTTTACAATAATAACTCAAAATTTGATTTGCTCTTCCAAATTATACAAATGTGTTTAAATTGTCGCATTTTTAAAAATGGAAGTTTCTGCCAAAATTTACAATCTTTAACAAAAATATATATGATTATACGTTTATTAATAAAACATTATGGAAGGCCTAACATGAGATAGGAATTATGAAGATCAGTTATCACCCAAATCTGGATCTGGGCATGGGCATTTTAGTGAGTGCCCAAAGCAGACAAGAGAGGAAAATTCAAAGTTATGAAAGTATGAGGGATTGTAGTGTTAATCAGAGAAGACAATGACAACTTCTTTATTTTGTGGCATATATGTTTTTGCTTCTCTTTTTCAATCAAATAATGAAAACAGCTATTCTATTTTTTAAAACCACCACAGCTCAGACACAATGCATCTCTAATTCACCATTGATTCCATATATTGAACTGAATTGATTGATTTCTTTATGTATTCATTTATAAATTCAATTTATTTATGCATTACATCAATGTTCATTAATATTTATTAAGCACTTATTCCATGAAAGGCACTGTGTTAATATTGAAGATAACTGGGTGAAATAGGTGATTTTATTAATATCAGGGACAATTGGAGACTCTGCCCTCCATATTTAGACAGACCTATTGTAGTCTGATTTTTACTTAACTTGAATCTATGCTATGATGCAGTGGTTTTCAAACTTTTCTGTCTGAGGAAATAAAGTTATTTTTGTTTATATAGGTTATACAGATCAATATTTATTGGAAATTAAAACTAAGAGTTTTTAAAAATAGATTGATTTATTTTAAACCAGCTATTAAAAAACAATTATACTATTATAAATAATATATTTTGTGAAAACATAACTATATTTTTCAAAATGGAAAATTATATGAAAGCTGTTATTGATTTATATATTTTTCATAGTCTTTTATAAAGTCTGTCTTACTAGAAGATAGTTGGATTCTCATATCTGCTTCTGCATCCAGTCTCTTGTGATATGATGCTTTGGTTTGAGTATATGAGGAAAATCTTGCCTCACACGGGTATGTAGTTTGAAAGGAGGACACTACACACCCCTGAAAGGGACCCTGGAACTCCCAGGGATTACACATTCAAAACCACTGTCATACTGGGAAAGTCATGGAGTCAGAAGTCAGACATACATATGAAAGTGGAAATTATAACTCTCACACTTAGTAGATTTTGTCATAAGGATAGTAGGATTCATTGATGATGGAAAAGTGCTGGTTTAAAAGTTTAAAATACAAAAAAATTGATAAAGAAGGTAATTTAGATACAGCAATTTGTCTATACAGCAGAGAATTAACCATTGAACCACATAGAAATGTATGCCTTTTTCATTGTGATCAGATAAAAAGAAAAGGATAGGTATGGGTTTAGGTACTTCTATGGCATTTAATGCTGAATACTGAAGGAGAGCCTGTCTTGGCAAGATACTTGCACAGACATCAACCACACTTTTCTTTAAATGTCTACATAGTCAATAATTTAGTCTTTAAAAGTCACATATGATTTCTGTAACTTCTTCCCCTTCCTGGTCCTTCTTTTGTTCCTCTTTTGGTTCTTCTGGTTCTTGTTCTTTTTTGTTCTTGTTCTCATTTCTGTTTATCTCCTACTGCCCCTCCTCCTCATCCTCTTCCTTTTTTCAACCTTCTAAAAACTTAAAAAACACCCTCACTCAAATTATGTGCAAAAACAGGCCTGAGAATAAATTTAACCCATAGAATTTGGGTTGGTAATGCCTAGTCTAGAGAAACAAGCCCTTGTATGAACAAGAGTTATGAAAATTGACAATGACAGAGGAGTATAAGTTGAATAAAAGTATGTAAGTGCAGCTCACGCCTGTAATCCCAGACTTTGGGAGGCCAAGGCAAATGGATCATGAGGTCAAGAGATCGAGACCATTCTGGCCAACATAGTAAAACCCTGTCTCTACTAAAAATACAAAAATTATCTGGGTGTGCTGGTGCACACCTGTAGTCCCAGCTACTCAGGAGGCTGAGGCAGGAGAACCGCTTGAAACAGGGAGGCAAAGGTTGCAGTGAGCCGAGATCATGCCACTGCACTCCAGCCTGGTGACAGAGAGAGTCTCCATTTAGAAAAAAAAAAAAGAGTATGTAAGTGCATTTGTGTAATGCAAATTAAGAGTGATGCTGCCCCATTTTCTCCATCATTAATGAAATTATAGATCCCAACATTAAAAAACAGTTTTATATTGTGCTTGAAAACTATATAAATAATCTTCTTTCTGTGACTTCATAATTCAGATATTTCCCCTGAAATAATGGCATAATTTTTAAATTAAAAAGATATGATATTTAGCAAAAATACATAAGTTAAAAATCTGATTTAAAATTATGGCCTTCTTAGACCATTGGGTTGTTGTTATTTCAAGAATGCAATCAAATACAAATACATATTTAGTCATAAATTTAAAAAAGAAAAGTACAAAACACAAAGGTCAAAGTCATTCTAAAAGAAATTAAACAAACACATAACAAAAAACGTCCATTAGTCGCAGTTTTTTTTAATCTAATTTAGAATTATAAAATAAAAAGTGTATTCTCTTTTCACAGGTTTTTATTCAGCGTTAATGTTTGTATGGGATGGTTTTCGGATGAAACATTAAATTGAAGTTCCATCTGCCTAAATTTAGAAGTTATTAATGATGTTAAAATTTCTTATTACTGTGGTTTACAAAAAGAGGTTGTATATATAATTGTGTCCAGGCTGACATTTTATTTTTCTGAAATGAAATTATGGCTGAATTGTCACTGATAGAAATGTTCACTGCAGAAAACAGAATGTTGCAGAGTTTACAAAGGAATTCACAACTGCCAATCAGAAACATAAAATACCACTCTAGAAAATGCCATTTTAATGTAGCATAAAATAATGCAATTTAATCTCTAAGCAGGTGTGACACTGATTGGAAGCAAGCATAGTTACTCCTCTGTCTCATTCAGTAAACAATCTCTATAATATTCACTTTATTGTGAAATTGTTATTTCACAAACTGACTCATTTATCTATAAGCTTTGCATTTTCATTTTCATATAAACTGTACAGCATGTTCTCAATTAAAGATAAAGGTGACTGATGAACAAGACTTTCCACACATTAAAATGTTAAAATGGCAAATAATAATATCTTGTACCAGATGGTTAGTGATGGCCAAAAGAGCAGCTTTTGCTGAACTAGATTAGGGATACAATTCCTAAAAGCATTTTATACAGTTATCTAGCCCAATAATACGTTTTAATACATACGGCTTCATGATCAATAAATTACTGATTTTAATATTGACCATATTTTATTTTTTGGTGCATAGGCTAAGATGCTAAAGTTCACTTAAAATTAATATTTTGTCACATAGCTAATATAACAATTTGAGTTTAAAATTGTTATATATTCTCAACGTATTTTTTCATGTTCTGAAGAGGGATATGAGAAGTAGCTGATGGTGCTTATTGGTAAGCTTATCAGGAGAGATATCTCGGGGTATGAAGTGACCCTATAGCTGATGATACTTAAGTAGACCATTCTTCCTTGGGATCAACAGAATATTACAGTGAGCTCTCACAGTATACACAACACCACCAGTTGCTGAGAGGGTAGTTCAGTAGAAGTAATCACAGGACACCGATCAAAGTAAGAGAACTTGCCACACATTTTATCACGTGATGCCAGCAGGATGTCTCCCCATCAGGCAGCCAAAGAGCATTATCTCAGCAACCAGGAGAACCGGAGAAAAAGACAAGGACCTATGTGTGGGAAAATGGGAGCTTATCCACCTGACACTATGTATTAATCTGTTCGCATGCAGCTATGAAGAAATACCTGAGACTGGGTAATTTATAAAGAAAAGAGGTTTAATTGACTCACAGTTCTGCATGGCTGGAGAGGCCTCAGGAAACTTACAATCATGGCAGAAAGGGAAGCAAGACATCTTTCTTCACATGGTGGTAGGAGAGAGAAGAATGAGAACCGAGTGAAGGGGGAAGCCCCTTATAAAACCATCAGATCTCATGAGAACTTACTCACTATCACAAGAATAGCATGGGGGAAACCACTCCCATGATTCAGTTACCTCCTACTGGGTCCCTCCCATGACACATGTGAATTATGAGAACTAAAATTCAAGATAAGATTTGGGTGGGGATACAGCCAAATTATATCATTCTGTCCCTGACCCCTCCCAAATCTTATGTCTTCACATTTCAAAACACAATCATGCTTTTCTACCAATCTCCCAAAGTCTCAACTCATTCCAGCATTAACCCCAAAAGTTCAAGACTAAGGTCTCATTTGAAATAAGGCAAGTCCCTTCCACCTACGAGCCTATAAAATCAAAAGCAAGTTAGTTACTTCCTAGATACAATGAAGACACAGGCACTGGGCAAATATACCTGGTCCAAATAGGACAAATTGGCCAAAGCAAAGGGGCCACAAGTCCCATGCAAGTCAAAAATCAACAGGGCAATCATTAAAACTTAAAGTTCCAAAATGATCTCCTTTGACTCCGTGTCTCCCATCTAGGTCATGCTGATGCAAGAAGTGGTCTCCCATGGCATTGCACAGCTCCACCCCTGTGGCTATGCAGGGTACAGACCCCATCCCAGCTACTTTCATGGGCCAGCATTGAGTATCTGTGGCTTTTCCAGCCACACAGTGCAAAACTGTCAGTGGATCTACCATACTGGGGTCTGGAGAATGGTGGTCCTCTTCTCACAGCTCCACTAGGCACTGTTCCAGTGAGGACCCTGTGTGATAGCTCCAACCCCACATTTTCTTTCTGCAGTGCCCTAGCAGAGGTTCCCCATAAGGGCTTTGCTCCTGCAGCAGACTTCTGCCTGGACACCCAGATGTTTCTATGCATGCTCTGAAACTTAGGTAGAGGTTTTCAAAACTCAATTCTTGTCTTCTGCACACCCACAGGCCCAACACCACATGGAAGCTGCCAAGGTTTGGGGCTTGCACCCTCTAAAGCAATGACCTGAGCTGTACCTTGGACTCTTTTAGCCATGGCTGGAGGTGCTGGAACGCAGGGCAGCAATTCTCTAGGCTACACTCAGCAGGGCAACCCTGGACCTGGCCCACAAAACCATTTTTCCCTCCCAGGCCTTCTAGCCTGTGATGGATGCTGTCATGAAGGTCTCTGATGTGCCCTGGAAGCTTTTTCCCCATTGTCTTGGTGATTCGCATTTGGCTCCTTGTTACTTATGTAAATTTCTGCAGCTAGCTTAAATTTCTCCTTAGAAAATGGATTTTTCTTTTTTATCACATCGTCAGGCCACAAATTTTCTAAACTTTTATGCTCTGTTTCCTCTTGAATGCTTTGCCACTTAGAAATTTCTTCTGCCAGATGCCGTAAATCATCTCTCTTAAGTTCTAAGTTCCACAGATCTCTAACACAGGAGCAAAATGCCACCAGTCTCTTCACATAGCAAGAGTGACCTTTCCTCCAGTTCCCAACAAGTTCCTCCTGTCTATCTGAGAACACCTCAGCCTGGACTTCATTGTCCATATCACTATCAGCATTTTGGTTAAAGCCATTCAACAGGTCTCTAGGAAGTTCCAAACTTTCCCACATCTTCCTGTCTTCTGAGCCCCCCAAACTCTTCCAACCTCTGCCTGTTACCCAGTTCCAAAGTCACTTCCACACTTTTGGGTATTTTTACAGCAGTGCCCCTGTACTACCAATACCAATTTACTGTGTTAGTCATTCTCATGCTGTTATAAAGAAATACTCAAGACTGAGTAGTTTATTTAAAAAAAAAAAGTTTATTTGACTCACAGTTTAGCATGGTTGGGGAAGCCTCAGGAAACATATAATCACGGCAGAAGGGGAAGCAACATGTCCTTCTTCACATGGTGACAGGATAGAGAAAAATGAGAACTGAGTGAGGGAGAAAGTTTCTCATAAAACCATCAGATCTCCTGAGAACTTACTCACTATCATGAGAATAGCATGGGGGAACTGCCCTCCTGATTCAATTACCTCTCACTGTGTCCCTCCCATGACATGGGAATTATGGGAACTACAATTCAAGATGAGATTTGGGTGGGGACACAGCCAAACCTTATCTCACTAGGAGGCTACATGACTTCTTCTTTCCACCCCCTAAATTCTTCTGTCACCTGGGAGAGGAGAAAGCATAGGGAAAGAAGATCTCCAAGGACAGGAAAATTATCCTAACAAGAGTAAATCATGCAATGAGACTGGTTTATTTATTGAATTGGACTTAGTTTAATAGATTAAATTGATTTGAAGTTTTCCCTTTACTATCCTGAAAAGTGAGGGCTTTTACTCTGGGAAATAAACTCAATATCTTTAAACACACATGCACACATGCACACACACACACACACAGATTTGCATATGTCAATTTTATTAGAGAGAAAGCATACAGTCACATGTCATTTTTATCAATATCTATAGTGTTTAGAGTATGAATGAATTAGATATATAGTCACTAATGAATAAATGTCCTACATTTTATGAAATAAAAATTCAGTGAGAATCTACAAGACAATGAATACATAATTCAATGAATTACATATTTTAAAAATGTACTTATATTTTTGTCTATATGTATGTACTCACATTTTAAAATAGCAATACTTTACAACTCATATATGTGTATGTGTGTATATATATATGTATACACACACTCACACACACCCATATACATATGTAACTGCAACATAAAAAAAGAATATATGGACTTTTGAATATTTTACCTTCATAAATATGGAGAAAATCCGCCACAGAATAGAAACACACCAATATGTCGTGCAGGCTGAAGTGCAGTGGTGCTATCTCCGCTCACGGCAACCTCCGCCTCCCAGGTTCAAGTGATTCTCCTGCCTCAGCCTCCTGACTAGCTGGGATTATAGGCACGTGCCACCATGCCCAGATAATTTTTGTATTTTTAGCAGAGATGGGGTTTTGCCATTTTGGTCAGGTTGGTCTCGAATTCCTGACCTCGTGATCTGCCCACCTTGGCCTCCCAGAGTGCTAGGATTACAGGCGTGAGCCACCACGCCTGACCATAACACTTTTTAATATCAAAGAAAAATATGTTGAATAAGACTATTATTTTCTAGTCTTCCAAATTATACAAATATGGTTAAAATCGGTGCATAAAGCCCTGTGTTTTATGCCAGCATTCATGAAACTGTGTCAGGCCAAAATGTTAGCTTAAAAATGGATAAACATTTTAGAACCTTCACAGGATTGACTTTGTCAATAAAGATGAAATGCTACCAGAGACATGACTTTTAGGAGGAGAAATCCAATGACCTTTAGGACTAGGTTCAAAGATATGAAAGAACTTTTAGAATCTGTTAGTGAATGTTCTCACCCAAGTGGAGGGTATGTGTAGGGGGCTAAGATCGTCCACTCCCATGGCTGTTAATTAATGAGTTATATTAATGTAGTTGGCTAAGCAATGAAGTTATCACTGAAATGTGGTGCCCAAATGGGACCTTTGCTTTTGATTATTATTCTCTGGGTTGACAGAGGAAAGCATGTTATCATGACATTGGATTAGCAAGCCTAATGGCCGAATCCAGAAGCAATATGATTGTGGCTTCTGGTCTAAGGTGTATCTAAAGGTAATCCCAGCTACTCGGGAGGCTGAGGCAGGAGAATCTCTTGAACCCGGGAGGTGGAAGTTGCAGTGAGCCCAGATCACTCCATTGCATTCCAGCCTGGGCAACAAGAGTGAAACTCTGTCTCAAAAATAAAATAAAATAAAATAAAATTATATTTGAGCACAGGCCCATCTCTTCACTTATGGTCTGGTCTATGGTTACTGTCTGCTTCAATAGCAGAGCTGAATTGTTGTGTCAGAGACCGGACCTGAACGTCTAAAGTTATTTTAAACCTGACATTTTACAGGAAGTTTGTCACCTCTGTTGCAGTATAGAGCATTGGGGAAGAGATGGCCTATTCAATAAATGCTGTCGGTCATTTGTATATCCAAATGAAAAGTAATGAAATTTACTCCATGTCACATCAGATACAAAATTGAATTCACTGTGTACTATAGACCTAAACATGTAAGTAAAAGAATAAGGATGTTTATCATATAACATAGGATAATATGTTCGTAACCTTGGGAGAGGTAATAATTTTAGACAGGATACAAAAAGCACTAACCATAAATAAAAACCGATTAAATAGGCTACAATTGATAACTTCTGTTGTCACAGAGAATGAGAATATACATTCAATACCCCAAACAGACAAAGACTTCTTATCTAGATTACATAAAGATCTCCTGCGAATCATCAAGAAAAATTTGAAGAAATAATATAAGAAATTGAAAAAGATTTCAATGTGTCTCTCAAAAGATGTCCAAATGGCCCAAAAAATTATGAAAAGGTAGTTACTCATAAGAATAAAGGAAATGCAAATTAAATCTGAAATATCTATATATCACTACAAACCTAATAGAATTAAAAAAGGAAAATGTAACGTCAGTTTAGCAAGCATGAACTACTGATGGAAGTGAAATATTTTTCTATTTTCTTTAGAAAAATTTTTGAAATTGACTACTAATGATCCTAGCTGTAGTCCCAAAAGATATATGTATATATGTCACAAAAAAGATATGCTTATATGTATCTATAGCATAATTATTCATAATTGTCTAATCTGGAGCAACAGTATTTCCATTAAACAAAGAAAGAATATGTTATATGCATAAAATAAAATTCTATTCAGCAATGAAAATGAACTCATTGCTACTCACGATATGAATGACTTATATACATATAGTGAAGTGAAAGAAATTAGACACTAAGCAGTGCTTATTATGTGATTCACTTACACATGTTTCAATGGGTGGAAGAAACTAATATAGGATATGATATTCAAAGGTCAGCACAGTGGTGACCTTTGGGATGGAGAGAGAAGTAGACACCTGGAAGAAAAATGAGGGTTGGCTTCTGAAATCTCAATAATTATCTAATTATTTTGTGGTGGTCATAGAGTATCTGATTATTGAGCCATTACTTATGATTTCTGCATTTACTCTTTGTAAGCTTTCAGAAATAAAATAATACAAATATTAAAAATAAAAACTGTCAAAAGTTTCAAAGAGTAGCTAAGGCATTGGATTTATTTGGGGCTCACAGTAGATGTGTTATTTCATATTCCCAGATTTGAGATCTCATAGAAATCATATTTTTTTGGATTAATATGGGAGAGTTAAAAGAACTCTCTGAAGTTCTTTTATTCTTTCAGAGTTCTCTGAAGAACTACCCCATGTATGCATTTATATGGAATGAACTTGCTGTTATGGCACAGAAAAGTCTGTCTTTGACATGCCTATTGTCACTAAAGAGGGTTTTAAAGTATATAAAATCCTGCATGGCCTATCAGAAATTGGGAATATTTCTTGGTCTCTAGAACTTCTTTGATGGCTAAGAAAAGTTAAATAATACAAATGCTGAATAAGCAAACCAGGTTTATATTAATACTAAGACTAACGCTAACATTTATTGAATCTTTAAATATTTGAAAGATGCTTTTTAATGGAGAATAAGTTACAAATGTAATGTCCCAGGGAATCTTACAGAGCAATTGCTATTATCCCCTTTTTATAGATGAATAAATCGAGGCACAAAGGCAATAAAAAGCCACATTATTGGGTAATTATACTGCAAAAGAGAAACAGGCATTATAATTCCTGTGACCAGACTTTTTAGTAAAACTCAAGTATTGAAAAATATGTTCCATTATGACCAAAACAGTACAGCATATCAAATGACAGAAAATTATCTAATTTACTCAAGGAACAAGGCAACCTTTTGACTAACATTAATTTAGTTTGAAAGTTATGTGATTCAAGTTTAAAATAATATTTCTAATATTCTCAGTTTATTAATGCTAAAATATCAAAGAACGTATATAAAGAGCTTAATATTCACATAATGAACTATAATAAAACTATTTAAAAATAAGCAAAGAAATAAAGTTACTATTGAAACATTCTTGAAGGCAAAAGCAAAGTCACAATTATAGTCAACAATTAATTTAGGGGGAAGAAACCTGATACTTTTTGCTCCTTTTAAAGTAGTTTGTGAAGCATTTTCAAATTGTGATAACTTCTTTTGCAGTGATGGGCTGCTTCATTCTTTCTTTTGTGTCCGTATTGTTACCTGTAATAAATTATGTTGAACAACCTTAATGATAATAAGGCATCTTCCTTTTGGGTTATGAGTTAACAAATAGTTTTTTTAAG
The DNA here is from genome assembly GCF_000001405.40 of Homo sapiens. Lineage (NCBI taxonomy): Eukaryota > Metazoa > Chordata > Mammalia > Primates > Hominidae > Homo > Homo sapiens. The sequence goes on from NC_000005.10 coordinate 23,367,391, forward strand.
AAGACAGGGTGGTATTGAACCCTGTTTTCATATATCATTCACAAGCTATATACATCATGAATATCACTAGATATGAAAAGAGTACATTTTCTCTGAGAAGAATTGCACACATGAACACGTGGAACAATTTTTAATTTTCTTAATAGCAGCATTTTCCCAAGGACAGCTTGCTTTTATTGAACAGATGCTGATTACACACTTTGGATTTGTGTCTCTGTAGACTGTATGTGTTCGCTGGTACCTAGGATCAAGTATAGAATAACCTAAGAATTGAGAGAGAGGCTTTAATCTAGAGGGTTTCAATTCCAGTCTGTGAATTATTGTTTATAAAATTGTAGTCTAGTTACTTAAGTGTTACTATAAGCCCTGCACGTAACAGGCACTCACCTGTATCTCTTTTTCACTCTAATTAATTAATAATGTGGCTTCCTGTAAGAGTAATGAGATAAAGTGCACCACTTCCTATTAGAAGGTAGACAGCCTTTATTTCTATATCAAAGTACATTTATGTCTTTTTATATTTTTCCATTATTCAGTACCCAACAGAAGTAAGAGAAAGGCCATTTTTGTTATTGCCCTGCTGTTTCTCCTGGGTAATTGGATTGTTTATTTTAGTATCATCCTTTCTTGCAGCTCGGTTATCATTTATCACACTTTGCCATTCAGTGGAGAATGACTCACTGAAGAGCTAAAACTGAAACTGTTTTCAAACCATTTCATCTAAAGCCAAACATGATTGAATATAATTCATCTTTGAGTCCAGTAGAAGAGCTAAAAACTTGCATGTCTTCTGTGCCTTTGGAATAACTGCTTGAGTGTTTAGAGACCACCCACCTGGATGTGTAACTTGGAAGAGTGAGAAAAAGGTAATTAAGCTCTTAAACCACCATGTGGTGGCTAATATATTTCTTTAAGGGAGCATAGAAAGTTTCAATTGAAAATTCTTTCTGACTTACACGAATGAAAATTACTTGCCTAAGATTCAAACATAGTTTGCAGTAAAGATGGATTTGATAAAAATGTAGCTGGAGGAAGAAAACAACTCTCGGTTGTTTTGCCCCTCAAGCCAGAGAAAAATTGATTTTCTTTTATGCTAATTGAGGAGCGACATTAACAATCAAGTGGTGCTGTTTTCATTGTGTATTTTTAACTGCAATGAAAATAAACAAATAATACAGCTTCATTCTATATCAATGTATTTTGCATCATGTTTACACAATGACTGATGAAACCAGATGTCACCGTGCCATAATATTCTCTAATTGTTCACTTTATATAAATATATGCTCACATAAATATGTGTGTAGCTTTTTTTAAGTACAATGAGTAATTCCACAACTATGAAAATAAAAATAAAATTTTAACATAGAAAAAAGCAGTATATCTACTTTACATATAAATTTCCATGTTGTATTTGAAGTTACGGACGTGAGAAAACACACTGGTTCATTTTTTTTCTTTTATGTCTAAATCCCTATAACAGTTTATATATATTTGTTTCAATATCTGAGGTGATTACATAGGTTCAAATTAATGATGATTTGCAATTTATGGTTTCAACGAAAAAAATTTAATTATCCTAGACAGTCTAATCAAACTTTAGATCTACCACTACATAAATAATTCACTCCTTTTATTAATTTTCTAATTATTAGTAGAAAAATAAAATGCTATAGGTAATAGTTGGCAGTTGCCATAAATTTCACATCTATATAAAAAGAAAGCCCCAAATGATTCCAAATGCCTATTATACCCTTAGTGTATACTGATTTGGTATTAAATTTGGTAAATGATTTTCAAGGATTTTATTTCACTTTGCTTTTCTTACATACAGTAGCTTCGAGTGTATTTTTCTAAATTTATCTCAACCTGAGGTTTATTATTAGTTATATTAGGTCTTAATGAATCTCTTTGGGATCTGTTTTACACTTATTAAACACACACACACAAACAAGCACATAAAAACAAAGTTGGAAACGTTGACAAAAACTGTAATGAACATCCCCTACTTTAACCTTGCTCCCTTCTCCATATTACTTCCAGTATGAATTTTTCTTAAATCATGGCAATTTAACCAGAATACACATGGGCAGTATTCGACAAGGATACTATTCCAATTCACAGCTTTTTTTAGGTCCTTGATGACATGACATTCAGATTCACTCGTCCTTTGCTTTTCTCAGACATCTATGACACCTTCAAAAATGTTGATGAAGAACTGGAAGCATTCAATAAACAGTGCAGCAAAATACAGCTTTTGAAATGTGAGGTAGTAAAAGGTAGATTCTGATTATTTTTCAAGGTTTTTGTTTTTTTTAATTTTAAGTTCTGGGGTACATGTGCAGGATGTGCAGGTGTTTTACATAGGTAAATATGTGCCATGGTGGTTTGCTGCACTTATCAACCTATTAACTAGGTATTAAGCCCAGCATGTATTAGCTATTTTTCCTAATGTTCTCCCTGCCTCACCCCACCCTCTGAAGGCCCCTAGTATATGATGTTCCCTTCCCTGTGTCCATGTGTTCTCATTGTTCAGCTCCCACTTGTAAGTGAGAACATGTGATGTTTGGTTTTCTGTTCCTGTGTTAGTTTGCTGAGAATAATAGCTTCCAGCGCCATCCATGTCCCTGCAAAGGACATGATCTCATTCCTTTTAAAGGCTGTATAGTATTCCATGGTGTATATGTACCATATAAACATAGTGTTCTTCTCTTGGATTAACTGGGGTGAGTACCAACATTTAAGGCCACAGTAAATATCTGAACACTGATTTGTTTTCAGATTCGCTCTTGGCCTTTATTCTAGTAAAGCTCTTCCTTAGTCCCTCATAGTTGTGTGTGTGTGTGTGTGTGTGTGTGTGTGTGTGTGTTTCTATTTTGTTCTAATTGCCTTTGTCTAGCATAGCATTTATAATATGATTTGGTGTTCAGTAAATGGTAATCATTCAATGTATCATTCTTTTGCTTAAAGGCAAAAACAGAAATTATGTTTTTCAAATTTTAGGCTTGTACTATAAGCAAATAGTTCTTTTAATCTGAAAATATAATAATCAATCATATGTAATAAACTAATCAGAGGAAAACCCGTAATTTTCAGAGAAAATTTGTTCCAAATTATCTATCCCTTTATCTAGTCTTACAAATATTCTAGTCTTCAAATATCATAAAGCAACATGATTTGCTCAGTGTATTTCACACTGTTGAGAGACACCTCGTGTTTTTTATTCTTTGTTTTTACATGGGAACTTACTAGATTCCAGCATCTTTATGAGTTTTAGTTCTTTCTGCATTAGAAAGAAGGAAACAAGCATCGCTGGCTCAGATTCTTGTGTTCCTTCTCTGGGATGTTCCTGTTCAGAGGGAGAGGGCTTCTGGTTTATTCACCAAACTCTACTCGACTGAGGAGGTCTATAAGGAGAAGGTCTTGCTCTCTGTGACTGAGCGAGTAATTTTAATATTGCAGGGAGTATAAAGACCATGGTGGCTTCATATCTAGACCACTTCCTACAATCCAATTTTAGCATCATAAAACTAATATTTTCATGTGATTACTTTGTCCATTTCTCAGCTAGTTGTAACTACAGGAGATGAATGAGTCACTATACATCTTGCATTCAAATTCTATTACATAAATTCTAAAGATGTACTTAATGATGTTGATGTAATATCACCATTTAGGTGTTCCTGTACAACACAGAGACAGACAAGCTGAGCCCAAGAACCTGACACATGAGTGGAAGAAGCCAAGATTGAAATGAAATTTCTAGCTCCAGCTCTTCCCGCTGTAGGTGTTTATATATTCACAGCTGATCTCCCAGACATCTGGGGACCCAGACAAGCCATCCTAACTGTGTTCTTTCTGAATTCCTTTCAAAATCTATGAACATGTTAAAATTTCTCCTTTTGTATGCCATTAAGTTATAGGATAGTTTGCTATGAAGTAATATATAAATAAAACAGATGTATGTTTTAAGAAAAAATAAATTAAAAGCTCTTTGCAGAAGTAACACTTTAAGGGTTGCCACTTTAAATTTTGATATAAATTATTTTAATTTAAATGATTGAAAAAATATAATTGCGTAATTTATTTAATTGTTCAGCACATCCATGTTTTCACTTTTGATGCCAGGGTACTTTAGATCTTTTAATAAAAAATAAAGCCTGGTGTGTATTCATCCTTGCATTTCCATTATCTGTCATATTGATGTGCACAAAACAAATCCTAAAAAGTATTTCTTTGGTAAAGTCAACTAAATATATCTGCATGTAAAATATTAGAGATAGTTTACCAAAGGGGACTTATCCAATCAAGTAATGCATAAAGGTATTCTTATTGTTAATAAACACTAAAAAATGACATTGTAGCATAAGTAATCAAGAAAACAACAAACATACACAAAATTATTTCCCTTGATGAAATCCACGAATATATATGGAGCTTCACCAAAGCAGAATTTTGATGACTATACATACACACACACACACACACACACACGCTGTACTAAAATGGAGAAGTAACCTATCATAAGAGTGACCCTGTAATAAATTTGCTCTTAATTCACACTAATCCATACTATTTAAGAACAAAAGAAGCTGTTTGGACTAAATAATGAAAAGTCTGTGTCACTGGCCACAGTTCCAAATAAAAAACGGTGTGAGAGAATAAAGTGTATATGAAGTGAGAATAAGATATATATGGGGCTTCTCAAGAATTCTGATAGAGATGTGTGTGTGTGTGTGTGTGTGTGTGTGTGCATGGTCTTTTGTAGAATTCTACTTAGAAGAAGCTCTGTATATATTTTATCCTCACCTACAAACTGTGGATTTCATCTGAAGATGTGGCCAGTGACCCAGGCTTCTCATTATTTAACCCAGGCAATTTCTGTTGTCCTTCAACAGGACAGATTAGTGTCATACAAAGAGGAAATGAATTACAAGGTCACTCATAAGATAGGTCACCTCTCCATCTTAGTGGCAGTAAAATGATTACTTGCTCAGTCAATGAAGACCAGCAGCTGATCAGGACCAAGCATCAGGTAGAGTTTTCAGGCTTATTCCAGCTGGCAAAATGAAAATCTATATTGGGACCCCTGAGACATGAAGAGAGAACAAAATTGCTTTGAGCCACTGTGGTGGTTGATAAATGGCACACTTAGAGAAAAACATTAGTCTCTCTACCCACCTGCCCAAGCCTAGCTAAATTCAAAGGAAATATGTACCTCTCTGGTATGCAATTGAGTACCTAATTTATTCCCTCTCACCACCAAAAAAAAAAAAAAAACATTGTGTTAATTATTCACTGTTCACATTCAAAGGGATGTTAAATATGGATAATTTTTCAAAAAAGTTATGTGTAAAACAATAACAAAACTCTATGTAGAATATATATGTTAACAGTAATTAATTTTTAAAAGGCAAGTAGCATGTACAATAAATATATGTAAGATTACATGAAAAAGAGGAATCTATTCAGACATCAGAGGAATGAGATTCAAAGAAGAAGGCACAAGGTTGAAAGAAGGCATCACAAACATACCGAAGGTTATATTCAATCTAGTGTCTTTCATTATATGGAATATATGCAATTAATCATTAAATGGAATTGATTAAATAAGTCTAAATCAGTCTGCATCAGTCAAATGAATCTAAATATCGGGCTGCTTTAGATTTTTTTTTAATATATATATACTTTAAGTTCTGGGATACATGTGCAGAACTGGCAGGTTTGTTACATAGGGATACATGTGCCATGGTGGTTTGCTGCACCCGTCAACGCATCATCTACATAAGGTATTTCTCCTAATGCTATCCCTCCCCTTGCCCCCCACTCCCCGACAGGCCCCGGTGTATGATGTTCCCCTCCCTGTGCCCATGTGTTCTCATAGTTCACCACCCACTTATGAGAGAGAACATGCAGTGTTTGGTTTTCTGTTCCTGTGTTATTTTGCTAAGAATGATGGCTTCCAGCTTCATTCATGTCCTTGCAAAGGGCATGATATCATTCTTTTTTTATCGCTGCATAGTATTCCATGGTGTATATGTGCCACTTTTTCATTATCCAGTCTATCATTGATGGGCATTTGGGTTGGTTCCAAGTCTTTGCTTTGTGCATGTGTCTTTATAGTAGAATGAGTTATAATCCTTTGGGTATATACCCAGTAATGGGATTGCTGGGTCAAGTATTTCTGGTTCCAGATTCTTGAGGAATCGTCACACTGTCTTCCACAATGGTTGAACAAATTTACACAAATTACACTCCCACCAACAGTGTAAAAGCATTCCCATTTCTCCACATCCTCTCCAGCATCTGTTGTCTCCTGACTTTTTAATGATCACCATTCTAACTGGCATGAGATAGTATCTCTTTGTGGTTTTGATTTGCATTTCTCTAATGACCAGTGATGATGAGCTTTTTTTCATGTTTGTTGGCCTCATAAAGGTCTTCTTTTGAGAAGTGTCTGTATATATCCTTCTCCCACTTTGTGATGGGGATGTTTATTTTTTTCTTGTAAATTTGTTTAAGTTCCTTGTATGATGGAGTCAATTGCTCATTAATAAAAGCTATATATATAATAAAAACTTTTTTATTAGAGTTTAAAGTTTATTAAAATAAATTATATTAAATATTTTGCATAATCCTTGACACATTTTGTTCTTACATAACCAGACTGTATAACTCATACATAATAATGAAATGCATTAAGAGAAAGATTTTTCATAGTTTTAAAAATAAAATTTATATTAATATCAAATTTTATTCCTTCCCAGGATTTTTGAATAAAAAATGAAATATCCTCATTTCCATGATACCAACCAAAGTGATAACAAGCAATACAATGAAGAGGTTATTTATTCTTTAGGAATATGTCAAACATTCCAAAATAGTGATAAACTCATATATTCATATAATTAAAGGATTTCTGCTCATTTATACATTTTCTATCTTATCTAATCACTTAATCCAATTTATTACATTTTACTTCATTTTACCTGATATTAACAGTGAACGTCAGAGAAATTAAATTACCTATCTACCTGTCTATGGAACTTTCTTTTTTTTTTTTTTTTTGAGACGGAGTCTCGCTCTGTCGCCCAGGTCGGACTGCAGACTGCAGTGGCGCAATCTCGGCTCACTGCAAGCTCCGCTTCCCGGGTTCACGCCATTCTCCTGCCTCAGCCTCCCGAGTAGCTGGGACTACAGGCGCCCGCCACCGCGCCCGGCTAATTTTTTGTATTTTTAGTAGAGACGGGGTTTCACCTTGTTAGCCAGGATGGTCTCGATCTCCTGACCTCATGATCCACCCGCCTCGGCCTCCCAAAGTGCTGGGATTACAGGCGTGAGCCACCGCGCCCGGCCTATGGAACTTTCTTATACAATTAATTGAAAAATTACTTGAACATGATCTTTCTAACTCTTACGTTAATGTTTGTTTGTTTTTAATTAACTACTTAAGTATAATTAATATTACTGATTTGACTACTGAATTATGTTATACTAAAATTTGAACTAAAGTTTAAATAATCCCATATGCACTCTAAAATGCACTGAAGCTTCCCCTGGCTTAAACTAACACTAGACATAACTAATATTTTTCAGTCCTTGTTATTTATTTTCTTTTCTCTATTCATCTTGTCATTATTTATCCCTGCTCCTCATTAATGCTAATCTAAAATAGGTGAAATGACTTTAACACTTCTAAAATGCTTTTACTTGTGTTTACTCCTAAAGTACTTAATAGGCAGCACAAGGTATACAGTGCAATATAATGATGCAGACAAGAGACAATGGCTACTTCTTGAAGTTTGGTAGTTTTGGCAACTCCTTAAGTAGCTACATCAGTGAGTTCTTATGTTTTGGCTTACAGTCCTTTACAACACTCCAGGTAATACACAGAAAGTTTAATCTACATCTCTGGAGCCCGGGGGAGAGAGTAAAGTGGTCACAGTGAGATTTGTAAGCTTGTAAAGTCTCTTGTCTCTTTTTATAGGTATTAATTGAAACTGTGGGCTAAGATAACTTAAGGAATAAAAGACACACATGCACACACACGTGCACACACACACACACACATACACACACACACACGGTGGTAACATGAAAAAGGCTAAGAAGGGCCTTTTGAATTTCAGCATTTATTGGGCAATATGAGGAAGTTTGGTACTCAAAAGCATAGTCTAAAATTATGAGGAGGATTAGAAAAACGTCTTGTCAAAAAAGCCAAGTGGATATGGCGTTGCAGGATGTATGGTATACTGAATGGACAAAACAGATGATGAACAAAATCCATTTATAGATCTTTGGCAATATTTATTGATTAATATCATTCTAGGAAGTGAATATTCCTTGTGAGCTGTTGCCTTCATTTGTGTCTCAGTAGGTGAACAGGGCAAAAATGTTTGGAAGTCTAACTCCCAAGAATTCTGCTTAAAGAGTAACCTCTGATGGTCATGAAATAAAGTGTTATATTCAATCAAGTAGGTAGTTAAATGTCAGTCACATCTAAGGGAAGTAAAACTTGAGTTTAATTGTATCTGTTGGAAAACATAAAATATCTTCTAAATATATCCATAAAGGCTATGTTTCTGGAATAAAGTTGATCATTTATCAAAAATAGAGAAAAAAATAGAGAAAAATGAAGAAAATTAAATGTATTAGTCATAATATGTCTTGAAAGTTTTTGAATTTTTCCTAATTCCCTTATTTATTAAGAGAAAAAAATAGGTTACACCTTAATATGCTCTCATAAATGTCAGTGTCTTGCCTAGCAGTATAGCTGGCTTAGCTGTGATTAAATATATGATTTTTGAAGAGCAATAGAAAAATATCAATAGAGCTAAGAATTGATTTTTTGAAAACAACAATGAAATTCACATACTACCCTTACATAGTGTTACTAAGAAAAAAGAGAGAGGATTCAAATAATTAAAATCAGAAATAAACAAATGTATATTACAATCAATACCACAAAATAAAAGAATTAAAATAATATTAAATATGCTAACAAATTGAATAATCTAGAAGAAATAGCTAAATTACTTTGAATCATGAAGAAATAAGATATATGAACAGTTTAATAACTGGTAAGTAAACTAAATAATTAATGAAAAGCTCCCAACAAATAAAAACCCCAAACCAGATAACTTCATTAAAGAATGTTACCAAACATTTAAAGAATTAACATCAATCCTCTTGAAACTCTTTCAAAAAATTGAAAAGTAGGGAAAACTTCTGAGCTAATTTTATAAAGCCAGAATTACCCTGATACCAACGCCAAAGACATTGCAAGAAAATAAAATTAATAACTAATATCCATGATGAATATTAATACCAAAGCTCTCAGAAAATGCTAACAGGCTTAATTCAACAACACATTAAAAGAATTAAACACCACAAACAAGTAAAATGTATTCCTGGGATACAAGGATGGTTCAACTTATAAAAAGCAGTCAATGTAGTACACCACATTTGCAGAATAAAAGACAAAACCCTACGATCATGTCAACTTTTGCAGAGAAACTGTTCAACAATATTCAATGCCCTTTCATTATAAAAATTATATGGAAGAATACAATGCTCTTTCATGATAAAAATCATACAACAGAACATGAATAGAAGAAAATTATCTCAATATAATAAAGACCATATATGAAAAGCCCACAGTTAGCATCACACTTAATGGTGAATTAATGAAATCTTTTCCTCTAAAATAGGAAGAAGACAAGTATGCTCACCAACATCACTTTTGTTTAACACATTATTGGAAGGCCTAGACAGAGCAGTTATGCAAGTGAAATACAAGGCATCCACGTTTGGAAGAAAAAAGTACTTTTACCTGTTCACTGATGACATGAACTTGTATGTAGAAAACCTTAAATATTATATAAAAACAAATCTGTGCGCCAGGCGCAGTGGCTCACGCCTGTAATCCCAGCACTTTGGGAGGCTAAGACGGGCGGATCACGACATCAGGAGATCGAGACCATCCTGGCTAACACGGTGAAACCCCGTTTCTAAGAAACATACAAAAAATTAGCCGGGCGTGGTGGCGGGCGCCTGTAGTTCCAACTACTCGGGAGGCTGAGGCAGGAGAATGGCGTGAACCCGGGAGGCGCAGCTTGCAGTGAGCTGAGATCGCACCACTGCACTCCAGCCTGGGGGACGGAGGGAGAGTTAACAAATCTGTTAGAGCTAATAAATAAAATCAGCAGAGTTGCAAAACACATAATCAATACGTTAAAATAAGTTGCATTTCTATAGAATAACAATGAACAATGAGAATATAAAAGTAAAAAGATAATTCCATTTAAAACAATATAAAAAATGCTTAAGATTAAACCTAAGAAGGCAAAAGACTTATACACTACAAATTAGAAAGTATTGCTGAAATAAATTATATAAGTCACAAATAAATGGGATGTTATCTCATGTTTATGGATTGGAAGCCTTAATTTTTTTTTTTTTTTTTTAGACACAGTCTTGCTCTGTTGCCAGGCTGGAGTGCAGTGGTGCGATCTCAGCTCACTGCAACTTCCACCTCCCGGGTTCAAGAGATTCTCCTGCCTCAGCCTCCCGAGTAGCTGGGACTACAGGCGCGTGCCACCACGCCCAGCTAATTTTTTTTGTATTTTTAGTAGAGACAGAGTTTCACCATGTTGGCCAGGATGGTCTCAATCTCTTAACTTCATGATCCGCCTACCTCAGCCTCCCAAAGTGCTGGGATTACAGGCATGAGCCACCACACCCAGCCTGGAAGCCTTAATTTTTAAGATGTCAATATTACCCAAAACTATCTTTCGATTTAATGCAATTCCAATAAAAATCCCGGTAGTATTTTTTGCAGAAATAGAAATAATCATATAAAAATACATATGGATTCTTAAAGGACCCTTGGTAGCTTAAATACTCTTGACAAATGACAAAACTAGAGGACTCATACTTCTTTATTTCAAAATGTTTTACAAAGCTATGATAATTCAAACACTGTGGTACTGACATTAGACAGACATGTAGCCCAGTGGAACAGTACAGACAGCCGAAAAATCAACCCTCTTATATACATTGAAATGATTTTCAAGAAAGGTGCAAAGACAACTCAATGGGGAAAGGACAGTTTTTATGATAAATGGTATAAGGAAAACTGTATATCCACATGTAAAATAATACATCTGGACCCTTATGCCACATACAAAAATGAGCTCAAAGTGAATTAAACAGCTCAATGTTAACATCCTACACTATAGAAGTCCTAGAAGAACATATAGGAGAAACTCTTCATGACGGCAGGTTTGACAATGATTTCTTGGCTATGACATCAAGAATACAGGCAATAAAAACAAAAATACACAAATGGGACCATATCAAACTTTAAAACTTTTATGTATCAAAGGACATGATCAGTAGATTGAAAATGGAACCTGTGAAATAATTTGCAAATCCTATACCCAAAAATGAATTAATATCCAGAATACATAAAGACCTTTCACAACTCAAAACCAGAATAAAATCACTTAATTTGAAAGTGGAAAATAACTTAAATAACTGTTTCCAAAAATGATATACAAATCACCAAAAAGTACTTAACAAGATATGCAGCATCACTAATCAGAGGAATGCAAATCCAAACCACAATAAGATATTTCACACCCATTACAATGGCTACAATCAAAAATACAAAAGGAAAGAAAGTAATAAGCATTGGCAGGAATGTGTAAGTTGAAACCCAGGAATTAAAAAAACAGTGTAACCAGTTCGGAAAAGAGTATGACAGTTCCTCAAATAATTATAAATATCATATGATTCATCAATCTTACTTCAACTCTCTCCAACACAAAAAATTTGAAAGCAGGGTCTAATTAGCTAGTTAAGTTGTTTCCCTCATATTATATATGTGAATACATAAGGCACTGAGGAATTAAGTAATTTACCCAAGGCCATCCCTTTACTAGATGGAAAAGCTGGGAGACAAGATCTACTGCCTGCTTCCAAAGGAGAGGCCTTTCTCTGTATCGATTCTGTGTGAGCACTAAATGTGGGCAACAAAAAGCTAGAAAGATCTCAAATTGACATACTAACATCACAACTATAAGAACTAGAGAATCAAGAGAAAACAAACTCCAAAGCTAGAAGAAGACGAGAAATAACCAAGATCAGAGTGGAAATGAAGAAGATAGAGATACAAAATACCCTTCAAAAAAATCAATAAATCCAGGACATTTTTTAAAAGGAAAATTTACAAAATAGACTGCTAGCTAGATTAATAAAGAAGAAAAGAGAGAAGAATCAAATAGACACAATAAAAATGATAAAGGGGATATCATTACTGACCCCACAGAAATACAAACAACCATCAGAGAATACTATAAACACCTTTATGCAAAGAAAGTAGAAAATCTAGAAGAAATAGATAAATTCCTGGACACAAACACCCTCCCAAGACTAAACCAAGAAGAAGTTGAATTCCTGAATAGACCAATAACAACAAGTTTGGAAATTGATGCAGTAATAAATAGCCTACTAATGAAACAAATCCAAGGAACAGATGGATTTATAGCTGAATTCTACTGGAGGTACAAAGAGGAGCTGGTACCCATTCTTCTGAAACTATTCCAAACATTTGAAAAGGAAAGACGCCTCCCTAACTCATTTTGTGGGGCCAGCATCATCCTGATACCAAAACCTGGCAGAGATACAACAAAAAAAGAAAATGTAATGCCAATATCCTTGATGAACATCAATGCAAAAATCCTCAATAAAATACTGGCAAATCAAATCCTGCAGCACATTAAAAAGCTTATCCACCATGATGAAGTCAGCTTCATCAAGACAGCTTCATCCCTGGGATGCGAGGCTAGTTCAACATATACAATGCAATAAACGTAATTCATTACGTAAAGAGAACTAAAGACAAAACCTACGTGATTATTTTAATAGATGCAGAAAAGGCCTTCAATGAAATTCAACATCTCTTTATGTTAAAAACCCTCAATAAACTAGGTATTAGTGGAACATAACTCAAAAGAATAAGAGCCATTTTTGAAAAACCCACAGCCAATATCACACTGAACCAGCAAAAGCTGGAAGCATTCTCCTTGAAAACCAGCAAAAGAAAAGGATGTCCTCTCTCCCCACTCCTATTCCACATAGTATCACAAGTTCTGGCCAGGACAATCAGGCAAGAGAAAGAAATAGAAGGTATTCAAAGAGAAAAAGAGGGAGTCAAACTGTCTCTATTTGCAGATGACATGATTCTATATCTGGAAAACCCCAGTGTCTCAGTTCAAAAGCTTTTTAAGCTGATAAGCAACTTCAGCAAAGTCTCAGGATACAAAATCAATGGCAAAATCACAAGCATTCCTATGCAACAACAGAAAAGCAGAGAGCAAAATCATGAATGAACTCCCATTCACAATTGTTACAAAGAGAATGAAATACCTAGGAATCCATCTAACAAGGGAGGCGAAAGACCTCTTCAAGGAGAAGCACAAACCACTGCTCAAGAAAATCAGAAGTCATAAACAAATGCAAAAACATTCCATGTTTATAGTTAGAAAGAGTTAATATCATGAAAATGGCCATACTGCCAAAAGTAATTTGTAGATTCAATGCTATTTCCATTAAACTACCATTGACATTCTTCACAGAATTAGAAAAATCTACTTTAAAATTCATATGAACCAAAAAAGAGCCCGCATAGCTAAGACAATCCTAAGCAAAAAGAACAAAGCTGGAGGCACCATGCCACCCAACTTCAAACTATAATACAAAGCTACTGTCAGGCCTCTGAGCCCAAGCTAAGCCATCATATCCCCTGTGACCTGCACGTATACATCCAGATGGCCTGAAGTAACTGAAGAATCACAAAAGAAGTGATATTTAAATGGCCTGTTCCTGCCTTAACTGATGACATTCCACCACAAAAGAAGTGAAAATGGTCGGTCCTTGCCTTAACTGATGACATTACCTTGAGAAATTCATTTTCCTGGCTCATCCTGGCTCAAAAAAACTCCCCCACTGAGCACCTTGTGACCCCCACTCCTGCCCGCCAGAGAACAACAAACCCCTTTTGACTGTAATTTTCCTTTACCTACCCAAATCTTATAAAACGGCCCCACCCCATCTCCCTTCACTGACTCTCTTTTCGGACTCAGCCCGCCTGCACCCAGGTGAAATAAACAGCCTTGTTGCTCACACAAAGCCTGTTTGGTGGTCTCTTCACATGGATGCGAGTGAAAGCTACAGTAACCAAAGAAAGCATGATACTGATACAAAAACAGACACATAGACCAATGGAACAGAATAGGGAACTCAGAAATAAAACCGCACATCTACCACTACCTGATCTTTGACAAACCTGACAAAAACTAGCCATGGGGAAAGGATTCCCTATTTAATAAATGGTACTGGGAGAACTGGCTAGCCATATGAAGAAAATTGAAACTGAACATCTTCCTTATTGAAACTGAATATCTTCCTTACAACTTATACAAAAATTAACTCAAGATAGATTCAATCCTTAAATGAAAAATCAAAGCTATAAAAATTCTAGAAGAAAATCTAGGCCATACCATTCAGGACATAGACACAGAAAAAGATTTTATGACAAAAACATCAAGAGCAATTGCAACAAAAGCAAAAATTGACAAATGGGATCTATTTAAACTAAAGAACTTTTGCATAGCAAAAGAAATTATCATCAGAGAGAACAGACAACCTACAGAATGGAAGAGAAGTTTTATAACCTATCCATCTGACAAAGGTCTAACAATCAAAATCTACAAGAAACTTAAACAAATTTACAAGTAAAAAACAAACAACCTCATTAAAAATTGGGCAAAGAAAATGAACAGACACTTCTCAAGAGACATTTGTGAAGCCAACAAAAAGATTATCATCACCAATTATTATAGAAATGCAAATCAAAACCACAATGAGATACTATCTCATACCAGTCGGAAGGCAATTATTAAAAAGTCAAGAAACAACAGATTCTGGTGAGGCTGCACAGAGATAGGAATGGTTTTACACTGTCTTGGGGAATGTAAATTAGTTCAATTATTGTGGAAGACAGTATGGCAATTCCTCAAAGACCTAGAGCCAGAAGTACCATTTGATTCAGCAATCCTATTACTGGGTATATACCCAAAGGAATATAAATCATTCTATTATAATAATATATGCATGCATGTTCTCACTCGTAGGTGGGAATTGAACAATGAGAACACTTGGACACAAGGCAGGGAACATCACACACCTGGGCCTTTCAGGGGGTGGGGGTCTGGGGGAGGGTGGCATTAGGAGAAATACCTAATGTAAACGACAGGTTGATGGGTGCGGCAAACCAACATGGTACATGTATACCTATGTAACAAACCTGCACGTTGTGCACATGTACCCTAGGACTTAAAGTATAATAATAAAAAAAAAATACATGCATGCTTGTGTTCATGGCAGCACTCCTCACAATAGCAAAGGCATGTAATCAACCCAAATGCTCATCAATGATAGACTGGACAAAGAAAATGTGGTACATATACATCATGGAATACTATGCAGCCATAAAAAGGAACAAGATCATGTCCTTTGCAGGGACATGGATGAAGCTGGAAGCCATTACTCTCAGCAAACTAATGCAGAAACAGAAAACCAAGTACTGCATGTTCTCACTCATAGGTTAGAGCTGAACAGTGAGAACACATGGACAAGGGAGGGGAACAACACACACTGGGGCCTGCAGGGCTTGAGGGAGAAAGAAGAGCATCAGGAAAAATAGCTAATGCATGCTGGGCTGAATACTAAGGTGATGGGATGACAGCTGCAGCAAACCACCATGGCACACATTTACCTATGTAACAAACCTGCGCATCCTGCACATATAATCTAAAACTTAAGAAAAAAATAGACAAGTTAGTCTACAGTTATCTTTGTACCATTGCTTTTATAGACATCCAAGGTTGAATTATAACTGCCTAAGAACAACCTCTTCTCTTCCATTTGCAAACTACATGCTCTTTACTTGTAATGATAAACTCTCTAAGCAAAGTTTATTGGATGCACTACATACGATGTCATTTTCCCAACAATTCATTGTGCTTTTCTATATCACTTATGAGATTACAAGGCTCTTTCGGATTTTACTATTGTGACTAATTTCTCTCAGTGAGAGGAACTCTTTTAATCAATTTCTGAACTTGCACAGCCCTTATTGTTGCTTCCAAATTCAAAGGCTCCAAGGGTCCAGGAGGACAAATAAGCCTCAGCTTTGAATTTTCTAGTCCTTAAGCAATTCTATGCATTTCAATGACTTCAGAAATAATGTTTTTCACCACATTAATTCCAAGACGAGGCTCGGATTTTGAATTTTCCTCTGATATTTGCCTATTCATTGTAATTTCATGAGAGCTGTTAATTGGCATAAATGTTGCATTGCTCATCTTCCTCCTGATAAAAATGTAGGCCTGTGGTTTGGGCTGAATATTGAGGTTTTCCCGTTTTCTTTCATTTTCTTTTCTTTCCCATCCCATTTTTTTCTTTTTATAATTCTCAAAATTTTGCCCTGTGAGCTTTTGAAATGCAAGAAGTCAATGAATATTGGATTTACTTTAAAAAACCCTTTGTTCTAGAAATTCCTGCCATTTTCAACTCCTAATATATGGAAAATTCATCCAGGAGGAATTCTTTTAACATCAGTAATCTTTTGAAAATGCAAATCTGATCACATGAATCCTTGCTTTTACTGCTTTAAGGTTTTTAACAGCTTTAAATCTAAATGATTAGGTTTCCCTCTAGTGCTCTGGCAAACAAATTGATATTCTCTCAGCCACTCACTGTGACTCAGTTACCATGGCCTTAAGTTTGTCAATTTCACCAGCTATTATATAACAAAGCCTCCTTATTTCTAAATATCCTTCTTCATTTTGTCCTTCAAAATAGATATACACCACACACACATGCACACACAACTAGCACATAAATATACCCATATTCCTTACAGTTGAATCTCATCTAGTGTTCTGGTTTCAGCTTGACTATGTCTTTTTGTTTTTGACCAGCATCTCCCCTCACACTACCTAAAGCACAACCTCTGACTCTAATCTCTCATCACAATAATTAATGGAAGTAAGAAAGAAGTGCTTCTTGTGTAAAAAAAAAAAAATCTGTGTCCTCAGTAATCTATACACTTATTAAGTCTGTGATCCAAGATTATCAATTGTATTTTAACACTTACCAATGCATCAGGCCTGAACTTGACTTACTTGTATCCTGCCTAGCTTACTTACAGTATGATTGAGCTTTCTGATAAAATGTCCTAGCCTTGTTTACATCTATGATATTCTTCTATAAACTTAATTTCTCAATATGATACCAATTTTCTGCAGTTATCTTCCGATTGTCTCTTACACTAACACAATATAAGTTTCATAGGTTTCTTAATTCATCTTGACATTGAGTCCTGACATGTAATGTTTAAAGGACATTTTCATTATATTCCTGACCTTAAATTTATTTATCTTTAGTATCTATTTTTTGCCACCTTTGATAAAACTCTCTGAGAATCAGTTAATCTTTTTGACTTTATTGTTCCCTTCTTATCTATATTTCCAAAAACATTAATTCTGCTTTACTATCATTTCTTTTTTATGACCAACTAGTTTGACTCTATTTTCAACTGCTAGAGTTTGCCAATATCCACATCTTCCAATACACTGACCATTCATTGAACATAAAAAAAACACAGAAAATTTAGCTCTAGCATTTATCAAGTAAAGCTTGTACTATGTTGACAGAAGAGTTGAATTCTATAAAACATTCATTTGCTCCGAGCCAAATATGAGTGACTAATGTCCCATGACACAGCCTAGGAGATCCTGAAACATGTGCCCAAGGTGGTCAGGACATGGATTGGTTTCATGTTTCCTGTATGTTACTTTCCTTTTTCTTTCCATAAATCTTCCACCACATGGCTTCACTGGAGTCTGTATGAACCTACTCTGCTTCAGGAAGATGCCTGATTTGTAAATTGTCATTTGTTCAATTAAACTGTGTTAAATTTAATTTGGCTAAGGTGTTTCTTTTAACAATCTTTTCATGGTCATCTTCATAGAAGGATACTAATCATATGTGATTAGGGGCCTACCCTACTCCAATATGACTTTCTTTTAATTTAATTAAATGCATCTGTAATTACTCTATTTATTAATAGGGTCACATTATGAGACACTTGGGTTGAAGTCTTCCACATGTTTTTTGGAGGGAAGGCCCAATTTAACCCATAACATTCTCAGAACACACAGAATTAAACTAGATATTAATAATAAAATGATAACTAGAAATTTTGAAAATATTTGGAAATTACAAAACATAGCTTTGACTAACCCATGAGTCAAGAATTTATTTCCAGAATAGTAAGATATATTTGTACCAAATTTAAAACTATAGCTTATCAAAATTTTTGAGGTGCAGCACAAGTCGTGCTTAGAGTTAAATGTATACAATCAAATTAATTTATTGGAAAACTATAAAGATCTATAATCAATAATGTAACTTTCACACTTGGAAACTAAAGAAGAAAGAATAATTTAAGTCAAAAGCAAGAATGATAAAATCAAAGATAAAAATTAGAACAGAAGTCAATCAAATTGAAAAGAAGAAAAAAGAGAAAATCAATAAAATTTAAAGTTGGTCCTTTAAAAAGATTAAAACTCAATGGTGTTCACATATACCATAAAGATGTTAATTCTCTCTAAATTAATCTATGGAGTCAATGTAATTCCAGGGTCATTTTTTTAAAAACTAAAACGCGTTCACATTTATACTAAAAAGGCTATGGCTTTTCCCTAATCTTTAGAAAAACAAGATGGGAGCTTGTTACTGGATACAACTACAGTAATTGAAAAAGTGAGGCTTTGGTAGCTGGATAGAAACGAGACCAGTGGACCATGATGAAGACTTCAGAGAATAAACACGCGTGTAGAAATGGATATAAAACAGAGCTATCTGAAATGACAATGTGGAAAGAACGGTATTTCAAAAAAAACTATCCTGAGTAATTGTTATGTATATGTTAAGGGGTTAAAAAAAAAAAAAAGAATCATTTCTTTTCAAACCGTATACCAAAAAAAAAAAAAAAAAAAAAAAATCAGTTAAACGTTTGAGAAGATAAATTCCCCAAAGGTTAATATGAGAGAATAGATACCTTGCTTTGGAGCAAGAAAATATTTGTTACGTATGCACAAAAAAAACTATTACTGTTGAAAAAAAATGAATAGATAAATTGACTTCATTATAAGTAAAAACTTTGATACATCGAAGCCTCTATTAAGAAAGTGTAATGGGGAGGCATAATGTGAGAAACTACTAGTAACACATTTGTGACTGTTCAGGATCAAAACAGAAAAGTTAAAATTGCGGTGTTTTTTAATGAAAGAATTTAAATTAGAGAATTTGGAAAAAATGCTGGAGGTCTGAACACAAAGGAAGAGTGGATACTAAGGGACCACAGTTGTAGTGATTTTAGGAAGCACCAATCATTTTTATGGCTGGGACAATAACACATGAGGTTAGGGTTTTAGAACCCAGCAACATGTAGGAAAGGATTCTGAACTCAGACCTCTGTGAAACAGCCCCTTTCCAGATGATTGTGTCATTTGAAGAGATGAGGGGAGGGCTGCGGCAGAGTGGTTCAGGGAAGGGAGGACTCTGCCAGATAGCAATAAGAAAAGTAATTTTAAAATGGAAAGAAAGATACATAGTCTCTGCCCTCAGAGGCTTTACCATCTATTCATTGAGACAGATAGTATGCATAAAATATATTTACAAGTTGGTGAGAATTCTTTCTTGAATGTCCCCAATTGCATGAGATATCCATGACTAGAAATAATATATCTGGAACCCAGGGGAAATGTCATCATGAAAGTCCTACTCTACAGGCTCTAGCTGAAGCTTTGGTCACTCAGGGGATAGAAAGATAGCACAGGGACCTCTCTTAAGGGCCTGTCTGGGCCCCCCTCAGCATGGAAATAAAGGAAGATTTTGAGTTTCTTCAAGAGAAATTCCAGGCAAACGCTGAGAAATAAATGAACAACTTGATAAGCGGGACGTAATAATAGCTTAAAACAAAAGTCAAAGGAGTTAGAGTCACAAGATCTTTTGTTCTCTATAAAAAACTAAATTTAACATTTTAATATATGTCTTTGAGTTGTTTTTAGAAACCCAGACCCCCACCAAGTGGATCCACCGGCATGTGGACCTCAGGGAAGGGCTAAGTGAGGACTGAACGTGGACCACCGTTGTTTGTTCTAAGTTTCTTCCTGAGGGGCCCGGAGGAGGTCACACCCACAGGGCAGAGATAACATTCTTTTGTGCTGATTCAAATCTTTAGATGAAGCTTCTAACCAATCCCAAATCAGAAAATCTCTGAATCCACTTAGGACTTGTGGGGCTCTGCTTAGAGCCTGCCTGTTTAGGCCAAACCAATGGATGGCCTCCATGTGTTGATGTGATCTTGCCTGGAACCTCTGCCTGTCCATCTTTAAAATTCCTTACCTGTAAACCCTCTGGGAATTTGAGTCATAGGCATGACTTGCCCAGTTCTCCTTGTGTAGTGCTCTGCAATAAATATCTCACTTTCTTTCAATGCAGTCCCAATGTCAGGGTTCAGCTTTGCAGCACCAGGCAGGCGGACCCAACTTTGGTCCAGTAACAATAGGAGAGAATGATAGCAAGCCTGGATCAGTGAGTTTAAAATAGGATAAGCCAGCCAAGAGTAATCCTAAAGACAGAAGGAGACTCAGAAACAGTTAATAATGCAGAAACAAAGTCCAGCAAGAGAATGGACAAGTGATATACAGAGGTAATTGAGATGAGCATTTTAAAAGTCTGTGGAACTGGCAATTTGGGCATTAAATATGACCTTTGTGAAAGGAAGACTGGCAGGCAGAATTGAGGGTATAAAAGTCAGATGTAAAACACTTTTATTGATTATAACTAATACCATAAACACATGATTTAAAGTTTAACATCATTTCCCCCCTATACATTTACATTTATATTCAGAAACATCTTGTGCAATGTTTGGTTTTTTTTTTTTAATACATCTCTACGAATACTTAGAATGAAATTGTCAAAATGTTAAATCTGAGTGTAAGAGCTAATTTGCTCTACATTTGTAACCGCTTATCATTATAGCCAGTGTTATCAACTTAATGAAGCAGAAGAATTTCCTCCTGGGCCAGTTGCTCAAAACCTTGGTGTCAGGCTAGTAATAATGGTATAAAAATTCTTTGTCACCCTTTTCTAAGTACAAATAAAATTATTTTATATAGTTCAGGGAATTTGTCACTTTAAGTAATATAAGAAATACTACTGATTTTCTTCAAAACATTATGTGTAGAATAAATAGAAATACATATTGAGAATTGTACAACTGGCTAAAATCATACTGAAATGTGAATTTAAAATTATCCTTTTTGATCAATTTTGGAAACACTGCTAGGACCAAAATATGGCATATGTTAACATTTCACACACTTTATCTTCTTCATAAATTAACATTTACTCATGTAAACCACAGAAAAATTTATCTACTGGGCTAAAGCTTTAAAAAATTCAACTTTCTGACACTGGTTTTCTATAATTATACTGGACAAGAATTCATATGGAATTCTATATCACTGTAAGAGTAATTTCCTGACTAAGGTATTCAGATGGAAGGAAGAGAAGCAAATGCCTAAAGACCATATCTTGAACTAGCAAATAGAATAGTCTGTCAGCTGCCTAACTCATTTTCAAGCATTTTGGCACATCTCAATGTAAAAAATGGTTATGGTTCTGAGAATTTTCTCCAGGTAGAATCATTTATCAAGCTGTAACAAAAGTTTCTCATTTTTTATTAGAAAAGTTATGAAGCTGAACTTTAGAAATCACTTTCACTCATCTGTTGGTTAAAAAATATCTAGGAAGAGCAAATGCTGTCAAACCTCTGTACTAGTGTAAGCATATGTGTATGCTCAAGAGTGCATTTTAAGCACCATTAATGCCGATAAAGCACAGCGCTGCAGTCATTTTTCATAAGTGGTGGCTTTACTGACACAGTCCCTCTGAACAACCCTCTCCATCTCTAACTGTTCATCTGTCTCACAGAAATAGCAGTGTGTTCATTCATCATTTGAATAATGGGTGGTAAAATCTCCACTCTTTTTTCTTCTACAGAACTAGTGTACTTTCATGGACTGTGCTTTTTGAGCTCATTAATAGCAATGATGTTATATGGTTCACTCCAGTTCTTTCCCTGGGCTGTTGCTCACATCATAGGAAGCAATAAAAGGAAGGAGGGAGAATGTGGAAAGAGAATGGGACCCCTGGTGGGTGGGAGTGATTGAGGTAACAGCTCATTATCCTTAATAAGCCAAGGGATAGACAAAAGGAGGATAAATAGGATGAATAAACTTTTGGAAACAAATAGTCGTAGGCCACCCTCTCTCTATCTTGTCTCTGTCCTCTCTCTCTCTCTCTCTCTCTCCAGAGTACTATGTAGCTACCGCAAGTTTTCTGTGGCACAGAAATTATTGCAGGTGGAACATTATTTTCAGCACTCCAGACTAGATCACTGCAATATGCTCTATTTGGAGTTCCCTTGGAAGACCTCCCAGAAGTCTCAGATAATACAGAGTGCAGCTGTTGGAGATTGTTAGCACAAATAGATTTGGCTTAGCTGGAAGCCTGAAGCCTGGAACTAAAATATGTCTGAGCTCGACTGTTAGCTGAAAAGCCCTGAAATAAAAAATATATAAAATAATACAAAACCAAATGTTTACATTGTAAATTTTGCAGATAAAAGACTTAGAGATAATTAACTTTGCTTCGTTCTTGAAATAAAAAGGAGGATTCCTAGGTAAAGATGAAAATGTGTTCAGTCAGGTGGAGCATTCTTCCAAATTGTGAGCCTTGTTTTCGATAGATATAAATACATACACTCTCATATTTGAGTAAAATACGTATAAAATGGAAAAATGATAATTCTAACAACATTCTTATTGAAAAATAATGAGTAACATTGTTATTTCAATTACACTAAAGTCAATAATGTTTATGTACTAAAAATGAATCACACAATAACATTCCATTTTTAAGTTTTCTCCCTCACCATGTGATACACTGGATTCCCCTTCACCTTCTGCACTCCAGCCTGGGTGAAACAGTGAGACCCCTTCTCAAGACAAACAAAAAAACAAACAAACAAAAAACTACTTGGCTTCTGGTGAGGCCTGTAGGAAGATTACAATCATGGCAGAAGGTGAAGGGGAATCCAGTGTATCACATGGTGAGGGAGAAAGCAGGAGACAGAAGGGGAGGTGCCACCATTTTTTAAACAACCAGATCTCACGTGAACTAACAGAGTAAGAACATCCCTATTACCTTAGGAAGGGCAAAAAACCATTCATGAGGGATGCATCCCCATTTTCCCAACACCTCCTACCAGGCCCCATGTCAAACAATGGGGATTACACTTCAACAGGAGATTTGGAGAGACCAAATATACAAATTATAGCAGTTAGCATTATGAAATTTCTAAACCTTGATTTGAAACATCTATAATTATATACAGAAGTATGGATGAGTAAAGCCCACAGACTCTGCAACATCCGTATTCAAGTCTGCTTCTTTTACAGCTTCACATTGATTTTCATTGTGAATTTAGCAGTCTGTCTACTCCATTAGATTATCGCTAATTTATGAATGTGGTATTTTTCCTAAATATGTAATTAAAAATAAGAAATTGATTATCTTACTTAAAAATAGTTGTATTCAAAAATAAAATTAAAGATAACAAAGGAAAGTAAGTAAATAAGTTTATTTACTGCAAAACTGAGGCTCCATATAACAAACCTAAATAGTGAAAAAATCAAAATGTCTCTAGAAGTCTGCATTGACTATTTTTATCTGATGAATTAATTTATGAGTAATATTCCAATCAAACCTGTGTTAATTACAAATTGGGGGACCAGTTAGCAGTGTGAGGGACCGAAGGACTAATGTATATTTACATTGTAATAAATCCCATTATATCATTCCTGAACTCAACAAAAAACATTAATCTACAGTCATGCTTCACCTAACCACTGTGATACTTTCTGAGAAATGCATCCTTAAACAATTTCGTCATTGTGCAAATACCATAGACTATATACCTGTACTACATCTATATATATGTATGTATATATATAGGCTACCACACATCTAAGCTATAAAGTATAGCATGTTGCTCCTAAACTATAAATCTGTACAGTAAGTTACTGTACAGAATAGTGTAGTCAACTGTAACACAATGAGAGGTATTTGTAACCTAAATATATGAAAACATAGAAGATGAACAAATAAAAATACAGTATAAAAAATAAAAAATTGTACACCTGTATAAGGCACTTACTATGAATAGAGCTTACAAGACTGGAAATTGCTCTGGGTGAGCCAGTGAGTCAATGGTGACTGAATACGAAAGCCTAAGACATTACCACACACTATTGTTAACTTTATGAACACCGTATACCTGGTTGTACTAAATTTATGAAAAAAAAATATTTTTCTGTATTTAATTATAAATTAAGTTTGTCACCAGCCTGGACAATATGGTGAAACCCTGTTTCTACAAAAATTTCTTTAAAAATTAGCCAAGAATGGTGGTGTCTACCTGGAGTCCCAGCTACTTGGGAAGCTGAGGCAGGAGAATCACTTGAACCTGGAGGCAGAGGTTACAATGAGCTGTGATTGCCACACTGCACTCCAGCCTGGGTGACAGAGTGAGATCTTGTCTCAAAAAATAAAATAAAATAAAATATAAAGCATTTTACTTTATATTTGAAATATTTACCCACTATTTAAATAGATATTTTAATAATTAATTTTAGAAGTTTCTATTCAACTAATATTTAAATGTTTATTTCTAGTTCCTTAAATATAAGGAACCCAACCAATTAAACCTACTATTGAAAAGTACAATTCTATTTTATATTATCAAGAATTAAACATCTTGGTTATAACCAATGCAAGGGTCTTAATTTTTTATTTCTCTCAATATTTACTAATATACTTCTATTTCTTTTAAAAATGTTCTGACTTATATAATCCCATTATGCCTCACTTGATTAGATACCAAAGCATTAACATTTAATGTCACATGTGTGGTTCTTTTTACATTTTTAATTTTAGAGTCCAACTAATCTTACATTAAACATATGCATGGAATTGTGGTTTTCATACTTTTTTATTTTTAATATAATAATATTTGTATTCAGGGCAAAAAACGTATATTTTAAATTAGAAGCATTTTAAAGGTGCTTTAATTTAGAAGCATTTTCAAAATTCAAATGTTAAAGTTATGCTGTAAAAATTATTAAAAGCTTTGAATAAAAATGTTTAAATTATTTCAGAAAGCACATCCATGTGTAGTGTTTTGACGCAGAGGAATGGAGATAAATCTGAACAATTATGGACAATGAACTGCTTTATAAATCTCTTGAAAATGGAGGCTAGTTTGTATAAATAGAACACCAGAAAGAGGTAGTTTGCACAGGTATAAAACAATTTGTTCCACAGAGGATAATTTTACATATAATACGTTAAAATATAGTTAATAACTGAGTTCAGTTTTTATTGTGTAAATCATTTGTGGTTTACATTTTGTATGAGGAAATGTGTTTTGTCTTCAGTAAAACCATATTTTATTGTCCAAAGAAGGATTGTTATTCACAAATTTATGCAAATCAACTGAGAATGTAACATATCCTCTGGTAAAGCAAGACTTTAATGAAAATGAAAATTATGACTCCCCAAAATTTCCATGGAAACTCTTGGGCTATGTCTGCTCACCAATACTAATAAGCTATGGAAGGTATTATGATTATTTGTTGACTGGCAGAATATAAAGATTGTAAGACAATTTAAATCCATTCTCCAAAAAATATTTAACAAATAAGTTGACAGGAGTTCCCTAGGAGAGTATTCTTTTTTTAAAAAAAATCAGATTCCAATTGATAATAACTAGTCTATGCTCTTTTCCCAAGACAGTAGAATATCTGCAACAATCTCTGCTTTTTCACTGATTTAATTTCCCTAATTTAACAAGTTGTAGGTATATAAATTCCCAAGAAAGCTTATTTGGTAAGCCTCAACATTTTTCTAATAGAACAAACTTCATTTAACATACATACTACTATGTACTCATATAGTGAAAAATGTAGAATCATTTCTAAACAAAATATAAGATGCAAGCTGCATGGGTTTCACCTTATGTACATGTTAAAGACATATTTATATATTTATTTAGTTATTCATTCTTATTATAGTATATTAGACATAATAGTCACACACACATTTATATTATAATGTCTGTTCTTAAAAATAAACAATTGTGTTGGGTTCTTTGATGGTGAAACCACCTTTGCAAAAATTATGACAGTGAGGGAAAGCTAATATGGCTGACTTCATCTTGCTTCCACCTGACAACCTAACTCTACTTGCGCATTCCGGAGCATGGACCAAGCTAATTATGAGGGAAATTTAAAGTTTAACTTGAAAACAACAATGAAAACATTCCTTCCCCAAAGTAACTCCATCCTTGCTGAGGGATCAAAATCGCCTTTTTAAAACTAATAAATTGACCACAAGTTTGGATTATTTTAGGGGCTTGAATTCTGTTAGGATTTAGGTATAGGTAAACTGTAACTAGTGATTGTTTTATAACTAATCTTTATAACTAAGCAGCTGCTTACTGCTCAGGGGTCTTGTAGCCTGAGGTAGCCAGATTTGTAACTTCCCCAACTGTCTCTATAGATAACATAACTACTATAAAACCTAAGACTGTTTTTTGAGATGTTTTTTAGACTTTTGCATCATGGCTACCAATGACTCTGTCCAGACTCATGACTTATACCAAGGAATTAACCTAACCAATCATGTAACCTTCACTCAGAAACTGACTCAGTGCACAATGATAGTTTAGATATCCCTATGATTTTATCCCCAGCCCATCAGCAACACCCATTCCCTAGCCCCTGCCTACCAAATTATCCTTAAAAACTCTAGCCTATGTGTTCTGAGAGAGGTGGACTTGAGAAATATCTAGTGTCCTGTGGCTCTGCTGCCTTGTGATTATTAAACTCATCCTCTGCCGCAATCCTTTTGTCTCAGTGTATTGGCTTTTCTGTGCAGTGGGCAAGAAGAACCTACTGGGTACAATGAGAGGAATCTTTAATACTACCATGGAGATTTATATAAATTAGGATTTCCTCAAAGTAAAGTCAGTATCTAATTATTTATGTTCCATTAATCAAGGTAGCTTTGTATACATGCTACATATGACAATGCAAATCTTACTTTTGAATTCACTATTTTCCTGTTTGTATTATTGGGACTTAGAAAATTTAGAAAATGATACTCCAAAATGTGGCACTTTGACATGCTGGACTAAAGAAGCCTCAAGGTTTCTGACCTTCCCCTGCTTTCCTGTTCTCTTATCCACTTTTCGGAAGCAAACAGGACAGACTCTCTATGGAATTTCTTTATCTAAGAAAACTTATTTCCAGAAGACATATAATTGTCTTAAGAACTTCTCCGTAGGTTGGGAGTCTTCGCCATGTCCAGACATACTTATTATTTATTCTGAAGGCAGCTTTAAGAGATTATCTGGAATACTTTATTTACATAATAAGACTAACATTGTTCACACTGAAGTTTCACATCTCACCTTCCTGCCACTTCCCCTCATAGCTCAGAAGAACTTTGTTCCAGAACATTGTACTTTTGGCTTATTCATCTCCTTTGAAAATAATTTTCTTCTATCCTTCATCTCTCCTCCCGCTATTAAGAAGTGTATATAAGCATCTGGACCTATTCAGTTATTGAGTAATCATTCTCCTGTTATTCCTCCATGCTATACACATTAAATAAATATTGCACATGCTTTTTAGCCTATTCATCTGTCCAGTTTTAGTTCATTTTCAGTGAATCTTTAGAGAGTAGAGGAAAAGCTTTACCTTGGCCCTTAAGCATTAGTTCTGCCCTAATTCTCCCATTGTTGTGAGTCTATGAACAAGTTGTGTTATCTTTCTAATTCTTTCTTATGTAATAAAGAGACAAAAATAGTATAAACTATCTGATACACTGAAGATTAACATTACTTATTGCATATTTTCTTTTTTCATTTGCTTAATGATAAAATTACTATAAAATTATCATCATTTAGAATGGAAAATAATAAAGGCAATGTTCCCAGTAATAAAAAAAATTAAAAACAATAACTTTATTCACTGAGTTCTATATTTGTCAAAAATGTAACTGTGATTCTCACATCTGTTTATCGTGCATAATATTTTATCAGTTCTTTTTAATTAATATGTTGATGAATTAACAATCAAAATCATTTTTGTAGTTTGATTACATTCCTACAAGTAGAAAGTGGTAGTGTCAGTATTTAAACACAGATTAGAATGTTTTGACAGACATATTTTTGATGTTACATAACTCCTGCCCATAACATAGTATAATTGCTTAAATAAAAACTATTCGAGTAATTTCAGCATTATAAACTTTCCATAGTTTTATCCATGTCTTAAATAAAATATATCTATATTATACAAACATTTTGTCAAAGTAGGTACATTTCTTGGTTTCTTATCGATTGAAGACACCATATTTATTTGGATCAATTTAATAATTGTGCTCATTTCAGTCATAAAATAAATTACATTGATAGTCCATCCTTTACTATCTGGAAATTGATATTTCCAAATGTTAGTAGTAGTATTATTGAATATTATTTCAATTTTTTTAATTGCCATACTTTTTAACCTCTGATAAATATTTTACTTCAACATTTTAAGTAGTAAAGGTCATATAAAATAACTCATTAAGACATTCTACAAATATTGATAGTTTATTAAGTTTTA
Organism: Homo sapiens; assembly: GCF_000001405.40. Taxonomy (NCBI): domain Eukaryota; kingdom Metazoa; phylum Chordata; class Mammalia; order Primates; family Hominidae; genus Homo; species Homo sapiens. Next base: position 23,396,331 of record NC_000005.10, read on the forward strand.
ACTATTCTACTAATCATTATGCATGGAATGGAACAGCAATCAGTTATGTTCTCCTTATGTAGCCTGCAGCTACTGGAAGAGAATAACCATAAATAAAGAAACAAATGGAAGTATGGTTTCAAAGTGGGAAGATTGTTAAGAAACCGAAGAAATAAAATATTTTGACAAGTATTTTTTTCTTAACCAAATGGTAGCCAGGCTTTTTAATCTTCTGCTAGGCCCATCTGTGCAGTTCCTTGCAAATTCCAGTTTTAGCAAAGAACCCTGCTAAGTCAGTTTAGCAAGCACTTCTCCTCTCCCACTCCTTGATAGCAGATCAGATCTCTCATTCTTCACTATCCTCTCAATGCTGTCTGATCACCTTGGCCTGTCTTCAGCAAGCGTCATGTTTGAGCAGTTTAGCCAGAATCTTTCTTACCCCTGATGTTTTCTGTTAGTAATTTTCTATCTACTGATATGTACACTGTTTCATGGGTATATATTTCCACTTCTCCATGTTGTATTTAGAATTGAGTCCAATATCTCTTCCCACACTACAAGTGGTCCCTAAAACAAATATAATGGTTTGGATTATAGTCTTTTTTTATTGTGCTTTAACAAGTATCATTTAATCATTCTTTAACAGTTATAGTGTGATGACAGATAGGACCAGATTTATCATTAGATTCCTAGGTCTCTCACCCAGGACCCTAAGTACACTCCTTTGAAGCTTTTGTCTTCATTTCTGGCTGAGTGAGAATCAATTGGAGAGTCAGACTCCTGAAACGTTGCCCCAGACAAACATCAGCTACAGCTGGTAAAAACAAATTTTGATTCTTAAGATATGAGGATACTCTCCAAAGCTGGATTAAAATCCCAGGCTTTTTTGAAACATACCCCGTGGGATGTAAGGTCTTTTCTTGGCTCCTTGTTCTGAGTGGGAACCATTCCCTGAATTGCTGGGCTGTAATTATCTTTTTTTTTTTTTTTTTTTTTTTTTTTTTTTTTTTGGCTCTCTATTTTTGAGTAGAGATTATTCCCTGACTCCCTGGGCTAAAAGTCCTTCTTTCTGGCTCTCCACGAGACTTCTTTATTCTGTTGGGCCCTGTCTGTCCCATGGGAAATTCTCTGTCACCTAAAACCCTTCTTCTTTTTTTTTTTTTTTTTTTGAGACGGAGTCTGGCTCTTTCGCCCAGGCCCGAGTGCAGTGGTGCAATCTCGGCTGACTGCAAGCTCCGCCCCCTGGGTTCACACCATTCTCCTGCCTCAGCCTCCCGAGTAGCTGGGACTACAGGCGCCCGCCACCACGCCTGGCTAATTTTTTGTAATTTTTTTAGTAGAGACAGGGTTTCACCGTGTTAACCAGGACGGTCTCGATCTCCTGACCTCATGATCCACCCGCCTCAGCCTCCCAAAGTACTGGGATTACAGAAAACCCTTCTTCTTAAACACCTGCTGATTATATGCTCTGCAAACTCGATTTACCCCTGTGAGACAATTTTCCCTCCCACTCCAACCCATCAAACACTGGAACTTTGAGTCCTGTAGCCTCCATTGAGAGTTGTCAAGGGATGCGTAGTCTCCTCAAAGGCAAGCGTCTGTGGCTGAAAAGAGACAAGAGCAGGACACTATTTGGAAAGTGGGCAAATGAAAAATCTTAGTCGCCTTCTTCACAAATATCATTAAAAAGCTTTAGCTTTTATTGAGTAGGTAAACTCAACTTATCTTATTTTCATCAAAAACAGAATTTATCTTCACATGGAGTAAAGATTAAACAGAATTTATCTTCATATAGAGTGAAGATAAACAGAATTTATTTTCACATAAAGATAAATCAGTGAGTCTTTTACTGCTTCATTACTACAAATTTTAAAGATTTATTTTTTTTAAGTATCTGGTTTCATTTGTTTGTGTCTTTATGTATTTGTATATGTATCTCTCTGTATTTATGTGTTGTTTATATAAAATATTTTTCTACCCCCAGTGATATTACCAAGCTAAAATACCCAAATTGGTTGAGGGATAAATGAGCACTAAAACAAATTAAGCATGCATAAAATGCTCAGAAAAAAAAGAAAACTGACCCAAATTTTTTTTTAAGTTAACATAATCTGGGATAAATAAAAACTAGGCATAAAATTGTGTGTAAAATAAAAATATGGAAGTTTTCAGAATTGTGAGCATTAAATATAATATAGACATGCATTTTTGCCTGGGTTTGCTAGTCAGAAAACTTTGTGTTTTCTATGCTAGGTGTTTACGCTTGCAAAATTATAAGTCCAATCTGAGAGCAGAATGTAGAATGCAGACTGAAATAAATTGTTGATTGCTTGCTGAACATAAGTTGAAAAAAAGAGAGAGATAAAAGGGGTTGTAAAAATCTTAACTTGTGTTGGCAAAGCTGACTGAGATTGGATAAATTTATGTATACAATTTTATTAAAATTGGTTTTAATAGTCAGTAAAAGTAAAATTTAGCCTTTTCTGTCAAAACAACAGTATTTAGAAAATATTTATCTGTTCTTAACAGAAAATTGTGGAAGATTTTTCTTTACCTCTTAGGCATCTGGCCTATAAAATAAAGGCTTTGCATTTTATCAGGATAGATTCTTGTACCTCATTTTGTCTTTTATTAGGTCTTTGATTACTTAAGCAACATGATTCTTCTCAATATTAATTTTGTTTACAACTATGTAACTTTCTGTATATTTCTTTAAAATCTTTTCTTGTCACTTAGAACAAATAGATAACTAAAATCATACTTATTTAAGTGTTTCAAACCATTTGGCACTTTTGACAAACTTCTCAAAGTAAAGTTTTAAGCCTTTTCACTTTGAATTAACTTTGGGATTTTCTAGTTGGTCACCTTCAAAACTCAAAGAACATGTCTCGAACCTTGTAGAAGAGAGATATTCAACTAACTATGCTTATTTATATGTTAAATTATATGAGAAGCATTGTCAAATAAATGATGCTTAATTTTTTTAAAAAAATTTAAAAATTGTATTTGTGGATATATTATTGATATCATTGTTCCAAATATACTATGAGATCTCTAGAAATCTAACATGTTCTCAGTTAGTTATAATTTTGTTTATTATGTTAAAATGTTGTATGCCACTAAAACAACCAAATGTCCTTGTCAGTTGTGTCATTATTACACATGTACTCTCAGAAGAATTTTACCCATAATAATTTCAAGTCTTTGTTTTCATAGACAGCTATTGTTTTACTTTAATTCTTCCCAAAAAGCATGCAATCAGCTACAGTCTAACAGTCCCTCTTCTTTCAGGACATTTATTAAAAATACTCTAACATGTGCTCTGGAATATAGGTTTCTGGTAACTTTGAGATCATGCCATTGCACTGGATAAGAATTTCCAAAACTCTAAAGAAGAAGCTTGAGGTTTAATAAAGCTGCTAACCAAGGTCAAGAATTAACAATATGACACTAAATGAACTAACAAGGATAATTTTTAATGATTCTTTGTTTGAAACATTGTTCATTCCTTAAATGTTTTGTTGTCCAGATTTAAGAAAACCTTTTTCTTTTAAGCTAATTGCTTTCAGCAACTCAGTAAAGCGTAGTTTGGGATCAATAAAGGAAATACTTTTTCTTCTTACATATTTACTCCAGAATTTGGCAACTATTTGTGTTCTTATTTTTATGTCAAGATAGTAATTTGCATAAGTTCAATAATAATATACTTTCTTCATAACAGGACATAATTGAAAAAACTGATACATTACTAAGACTTTCACTGGAATGTCACATTTTCAGATATGACCAAAGAGCTTCAAGAAACTAAGATTTACTTTATGGCAATAAAGCCCCCTTTGGAAAACCAGCCTGAGTATTTCCAGCTTTTATAAAGAAAAAGAGGCTTAATAGACTCACAGTTCCACATGGCTGTGGTGGCCTCACAATCATAGTAGGTGAAAGGCACGTCTTACATGGTGGCAGACAAGAGAGACTAAGATTGCCCAGTGAAAGGGAAAACTCCTTATAGAACCATCAGATCTCATGAGACTTGTTCACTACCACAAGAACAGTATGGAGGAAAGCCCCCATGATTCAATTATCTCCCACTGGGTCTCTCCCACGACACGTGCGAATTATGGGAGCTACAATTCAAAATATTTGGGTGGGGACACAGCCCTAGCCATATCAAGAATGTCATTTCCTTGTAGGTCTAGGAACCTCAGGATATTTTGGGTACCTCACTAAGAAAGGAATTCACCAAAATATATAAGTGTTACAGATGCATCCTGATGGCAGGTCCTGGGCTTGTCTTTAGAGTGTCAAGAGGTGTTTACAACTCGAATCTGAAATTTTTTAATGAAAAGTTCTAGTGAAACAAACATAAAAAGAACCTATATTGTCAATCACTACTCTTGCTGCACTTATGTAAATAATCGGGCAAAGTTTAATAAAACAAATTATTTTGCAAATATCTTACTTTATCTTTGGTAGAAATGGAAGTGGCTATAGAGACAAAAATTATGTTTTAGAAGGAAACTACAGCACACTCAATAATAGATTTTAGTCATGTTTGTCTTCTTTGAGGTTTTATTATGTATCTATAATCTGGACTGCAGTCTCAATAATTCTAGTTTACTTCAATATCTGGCTATGACTTTTCATACAAACATTTTCAATTTTCTTCCATCCTTTTTGGTTGGAATCACTGCTCTTTTCCAGAAACTCTGGAAGAAAGCTAAAGCTGAACAACACGGTATAATACAAACTGCTTTTTTTCTGATGCCCTGCAAGCTGAAGCTGGATGACCTGATATAATACTCAGAGAAACCTCCACAACAGCTTATGCAAGAACAACCTTTATGACGTCCAAATTGCAAACACAGGAAATCTGTCAGATGGCCACTGCCTATCCTCATTTCAACTAAAGAAGCTTCAGGGTCGGCATCTAGAAATCTTTTCAACTGGCTGCCCTTTAGACTCAGAAACGGAGTCTACAGATTATTTCAAATATTAATATTTGCTTTTTTAAAAAAAAACTAAAAGTAATATAAATTAGTCGGTCGTGATTAAAGGTTTGATAGTTCACACCATCCAGGAGATATCCTGTACTACCAAGTCCCAACAGATGATTTAATTGAACCTTAATAAACAAGAAAATGGAGTTACGTTGTTCAAAGGAAGAAAGAATGTTTCTCTTTCCTTGAGCAAGAGAGAATGACAAAGATTCTCCACTTGGCCAAACTTCAGACAGGATTCTGAATCTTCTGCTAGGCCCATCTGTGCACTTATTTGTAAAATTTAGTTTTAACACAGAAACTTCCTAACTCAGTTTAGCAAGAAACTCCTTCATCCTCGATATCTGATCATCCTCAATATCTTATCAAAGTTTTATTTTCCACCATCCCCCAGGATGTCAGATTAGCTTGGCCTGTCTCCCAAAAGAATGATCATTATGGTCCTGTGTAAAGCATTTCTTACCACGCTTTAACAAGTACTATTGATTTTTTTTTCTTTTGGAATTTGAGAAAGCAAAACTAGTGGTGGAAGGTGAAAGAATATCTCTTTTGATTTGATGCTGAGAGAAGTTTTACTTAAGAAGTTGACATTTTATAAGAGACTAGAGGAATAAGAACAAGACAAATACGTCCAGACTGTAAGTAAAGACACCATTAACAAAGAAAACAACATATACACAAAGACTCTGGCAGAACAGGCCTTTGTGTTTTGAAATAACTTAAGACGAGTATGTATCGAGCTTACCTGGCCAGAAGAAGGAGATACAGATAGTAAAATTAGAGAGATTGTGATGGGGTCATATATACGGTTGGATGCATATCTAGATCTAATAAGTGAGGCCTAGACTAGACCAGAGATTGTTGCTACTTTTATATAATTTACATTTAATACATGGGACTTAAATAAAGTAGAGATAAAATACACAAAGAAGAAAAATGCTGCAATAGGGTTGTAATAAAAGGTACTCCTGTCTTTAAATATCAGATAAAACAGGAGAAAAATCAAAGGTGAGATGAGACAACTGAGAAAAATAAGAGGCAAAAATAGAAGCCTGTCATATGAAAAGAACCAAGAGAACCAAGAGCTTCAAGGAAGAAAGTTTGAAAGCTATACAAAATTCTACAGATATTTTAAAGAAGATACTAACGAAAAAAACTCTTCCAATAATAAAAGTCTAAGGTAATTATTTTTGGAAAGCACATTTTCACTTGGAAAAGGAAGGAAGTAATGATAAAACTGTTTGAAAAGGGAATGAGATCCCCCACTTCCCTTTGTACATCACTAATATCACCAGCTACCTCTATAGCCTAGGTCTTTCCTGTTTAAGTATATGCACATGCTTGTTGTTGTATTACATTGAATTATTTTTCTAATTTTTCACTCTATTTTACTAGTATTTAATATCTACGTCTTTGGGATTACCTAGGTTTCAGTTTTAACCACGTGATTATATTGACCAATGGGATTTTGGTGGCTGTAAATGACACCAATTATTAGCTTATGCTTATAAAGTTGTGCTTAATATATTGGTTTAGAGGCCTTTTCTGAAAAGATAACATAGCAGTTGTATCACAAGCCACAGTTGGAGAACGAGAAACATGGAACAAAGTTAATTCAGCTGATCTGCAGACTGTAGCAGAACCTCCAAGAAGACCAGAAGATGCAAGGTCTGAGTCATTACCACTCCTGGAGTTCTGCAAACATATGCAAGAGAAATAAATGCTGTTTCTTCTATGTCTTCTTCCTAATCATCAGGCACTGGTTGGAAAGCACTCATTTCTGTCAAGTCATCTTCTGTTTATATATCTGGTGTGGTATCTACTAGCTCTTGAACTTTTCCAAAGTCCACACCTTGAAGGCCTTCACTACTCACCTTTTTTTGCCATATTTACAGTCCTTCATAATTTCCTTGATTAGCTCTTTTGTAAATTCTGTGAAGTCCTGCACAATATCTGCACACAGTTTCCTCCAGCAAGAATTTATTATTTCTGGCTTGCTGGCTTTCAAGACTTTTTCTGTAATAACTACAGCATCTTCAATGATGTAATTGCTCCAGACTTTCATGATGTTCTATCTAGGTTCTCTTTCATAGCCATGCAATCCTTTCCATAGAGTACTCAGTGTAATGAACCTTAAAGGTCCTTGTGACCCCATGATATAGAAACTGAACTAAAGACATTGTATTTGGGGACAAATAGACCCCTTTGACAGCTTTGTTGTTGAACTCATGGGGTTCTGAGTGGCCAGGGCATTGTCCAATTAAACAATAAAAGAAACTTTAAAAGGCAGTTCCTTACTGACAAGTTACTTCCCGAAATCAGGAACAAAGCATCAATGCAACCAATCCAGAAAAAAGATTCTCCTTGTCCAGGCCTTCTTGTACAACCAAAAAACTAGTAGCTGTTTTTTCTCTTTTCTCTACAATGCTCAGCGTTAGCAGCTTTATACATAAGGACAGTCCTGATCATAACACCAAATGCATTTGCACAAAAGAGTGGAGTTAGCCTATTTCTTCTTGCCTTAAATCCTGAGGCTCACTTCTCTTTTGTACTAATAAATGTCCTTTGTGATAGTCTATTTTTTTTTTTTTCAGAACAGGACACTTTTTTCTGCATTAAAAACTTGTTCAAGTAGATATCCTTTCTCTCAATGATTTTCTTAGTTGCCTCTAGGAGCTCGTCTGCTGCCTCTTGGTCAGCAGAAGCCACTTCTCTTGTTATTTTGATATTTCAAGAGCCAAACCTCATTCTAAAATTATCAAACCATCCTTTCATTGGCATTAAATTCTCTAGTTTTAAATTCTCCACGTTCCTTTGCTTTGCATTTTCATATAATGACTTTGCATTTTCTTAAATTATATGAGTCTATCAGTATGCCTTTCTTATAGCAATCCTATTCCCAAATAAAAGCTGCTTTTTAAATACAAGATAAAAAGGTATTTCACAAAATGTTCAAGATTTTCATGCTGCTGGTATAGTTATAATGATAGCTTCATGGATTTTTTCCCTTTTTATTTATTTTCATTTTATTATCTTTTTACAATGTGCCTTCCATTGGATTCATTTATCTTGAAATGATAGGTAATCATAGCTGCAGACCTTAATCAATGGTACCTATCAAGCAATTCAGCTTCTTCTTGTAATGTCATAGCATTCCTCTGCTTCTTGGGAACACTCTGAGCATCATTAGCAGCACTTCCTATGGGTTCCATGGTGTGATTCAAGGTTTACGATGTTGCACTAAACACAATGAAAAATATGCAATAACAGCACTAGATCACTCTTTACTGTGATACACAATTTACTGGAGGAAGAAACGGTTCATAAGGGAGATGAATAGCATCACATGGCATTTTAAGCAGATATTCACAACATTTAAGCCCACTGTAATAACAATAGGAGGTGGTTAAAAATTATTATAGTAGTGCAGTATGCACTGTGGTTAATTTTATGCAGTTATCATTTAATACATCATCTTTATATTTGTTTACATTTCTCATGAAGGCAAATGGTGCCATGTATGGTCCTTAAGTGTTTGTGTGCAAAAGTTTTGTTCAATTTAAAATTTTTCTGATGGATTTGTTTAAATTTTTTGGTATTAAATAATAAAATAGACGAATCTACATGTATTTTATGTATTCATCACATACCTAACTTTTACTTAATTTAAAAAGTATTTCTAAGCTATACATTTCATCTTCGAGTTTTTTTCAAATTGGTGCAAATCCCCCAAAATGTTTTCAACATATTTTTTTAATGTTCATGTAAGTGGCCTCATTCAGTTAAAACCATTTTGTTCAAGGGTCAGCATATATATTGCTCAAGGGTCATGTTGTTCAAGGGTCAATATATATATGAAGAGAGAGAGAAAGGAAGAGAAGGGAGAAGGAGAATGATTCGTGGATAGGAAAAGAAATGTAAAAAATGCAGAGGCTCTGGGGTATTAGACACATTCTACTTGTTGACACAGGGTCATTTGATTTATGCAATTTCTTATTCTGGGTTTTATTTTTGTAAGCATTTTTCTTTAAATGCATTATATTTCAATGTAATATTACTTAAAAAGTGAAAGAAAGTAAAAGGAGTTATTTTTATTCAAATAATTGCTGAGTTGTTGAAGTCTTGAGAAATCAAGCAATAAATGCCTGGTTTCAGAGACGGTATCGTTTCTGATTCAGCCTGTGACCACACATTGGGAAATAAGAAAGGAGTGGAATTGTTAAGCAAGAATAACAAAATTAAGAATGAAAAGGATGACTAAAGCTGATACAGTACCCTTTACTAAATGAGAGATGGACTGTAATAAGAATTTGATTAGATTATAATTTTAAAAAGTAACTTGAAAATGGGAAAACCAACCATGAGCTGATGGCAATAGTAAAAAGGCAATATATACAACCAAAGGTAGAATGAGTACTGTGGTTTTCACATTAATATAAGAAGACATTGATTCCATGACCTAAAAATTATGTGTCAGTGATTGACCATAAGCAATAAAATCAGAATGACTATATAACTTATTGTCTAAACTTGGGGATTTTCATCCAGGAAAAGAAGCATGATGCCTCCTGGGGGTATGAAGCAAACATAGCAACAGTGTTATTCTACATACAATACAGCATTGACTAAATAGCTTCTAATGTTCAGGTAAAATATCATAGAAAAAAAGCCTCATACAATGTGATGGGCAAATTATGAAAAGAAGAGCTTTTAGTATGTATTCCGTGTGGGCTCTTATTAGCATTTTTATCACTTCAGGATGCTTTTGTTTTGATGACCATTTTATTCATGTTTTATAACACCTATTAAAACTTTCTAAAATTATTTATAGATTTATGCACTTTAAATCCTCTTCTACATTATTCGGTGCATAGGAATTATTTTGGGACCATGGTTATATTATAGTTTTTGAGTTTTTTACTTTAAATAAAAAGGAAAAGATAAACTTAGTTAATTTACTCACCTTTAATTTAACTGGTAGAAAGTTTGACACTAAAGAGCTGTCTGATATTGGTTGGTGCCATTTTACTATGCATGAATTTAGTAATTTTTTGACAAATTAAGTGAAACAGGGTGACAATTATGCAATCATTTTATACCTTATTGAATATCTTAGGATAAAATTGATTAGTTAAAACAAATCACAACAGATTCAATTTTAATACAGTCTTTCTCAATTTAGACTTTGGAAGAAATAGCACTGAAAGATGTTCTCATAAAATATTCAAAGCTAAGGAGCTTATCAAAATACACATTAATCTCTTTGCATTTCAATTTGGAAAATTTCTATTGACCTATCTTCAGGTTCACTGATTCTTTCCTCAGCAGTGTCACGTCTACTGATGAGCCCATCAAAGTCAGTGTTACTTTCTATTACAGTGTTTTTTATTTTGAACCTTTACTTCTATTCTTTATTTGATTTTTCATGTATGACTTTACTACCTATCTATTCTTGCATGTTGTCTGTTTTTAGACAGGACCATTAATGTATTAGCCATAGTTATTTCAAATTTCCTGCCTCATAATTTCAACATCAATGTTATATCTGAATCTGGTTCTGATAATTGTCCCTTCAGACAGTTTTTGCCTGCCCTTTGCTGTATCTTTTAATTATTTGTTGAAAACTGAACAGATTGTACTGAGTAACAGAAAATGAAGTAAATGTGGGAAGTTATGGCCATCTGTCTTACAGTTGAACTGTGCTTAATATTTGCTATAAATGTAGGTATTAGAGGTTAAAAATTCTTCTGGCTTCCCTGTTTTTGTCTTCTCTTTTGATTAATGAACTTCTTAATGTATTGTTTCTCAGATAGTATCTCTTGAAGCTCTTTCTGATGTAACCCTATTACATGCCATTAGAGTGGAGTCCTGCTTTAGTGACAAGATGTAGGGCAGGGGAACATTTCATAATCCTCTGATTACATTTTAGCTTTTTAGTGGCCTCTTTCTTGCACTTGTGAAATTCAAATTTTTCTACAGGGGTATAGCTTTTTATTTTCCCTGCCACCTAATCAGTTATCTGGTACAGTGGTTCTAAACAATTTCTTTGAACAGTTGACTCCTGTTGACATTTTTCCTCTTTAGGTAAGACAGGAAGGCTGAAGAACGGTGAAGTGGGAAGAATGCCTTTCTCCCAGCTGGGACAAGGCCCTGGAGAAGTCTTTGCTCCTAAAGTGTAAGGATTTGTTTTGGAAAAAGTTCTAGGCATATTTAAACATGTTTATTCTTTTGCTCCCCATGTCAAAAGTAGGGAAGTGAGTAGTTCTGGGATCTTTACTTCTTCACTGAGAGAACCTCGTGAGATTCCTAGAGAAAAAGCTTGGTGCACCCACAAGTTTCTTGCTTTCATAAAAATCTACACTACACCCAGCCTCTGGTAAATTATCAAAATTATTAGTGAATTGCCAAAAATTATCCCTTACGTATACTTATCTGCTTATGGCTTCGGTGGCTTATGTTTCTGGAAAACAGCACTTGGTGTAACTTTCTGCACCTATGTATCCAGATTTCAAGGTGGCATTTTCACCTTTGACTTAATTTCTCTGATGGATCAAAGAAAAGTCATTGATTTTAAGTTCGTCCCACTTTTTTTTAAGGAAAAGATTAATTACTTCTAAGTTTTTTCTTTTGGAGTTAAAACTGGAAGTTCCAGCTAATTTTTTCCTAATGCTTTATACTTTATATATCAAATGGTATACTTTAAGGAAATGTATGTCTTATTCTGACGGCTTTTTTAAATATACAGAAAAATTATCAGTTTGACACAAATTGGGAAAGACATAATGTTAATAAAATATTAAAATTTGACAAAAGCAGTATTTGAATAACACGTGTTTTAAAAATACTTTCAATATGCAAAGTAACAACTGAGTTCATTTCTAATTTGTAAAATTTACATCGAAATTTAATAGAATCAACTTACATTTAGATATTTATTTTTAATACCATTCTCTATGAAAAGAAACCAAGTCTCCTTAGAGAATTATTGGGTTCTAGAATTGGAGCAATAAATAAGCAAAATGAGCCCAGATTATCTTATAAAGCCAGAAAGTTAGTAAGTGCTGATGTGCAAACACGCACATGCAGACACACACACACACACACACCATGAAACAATAAAAATATGTGAAGAGATAAAGAACTCAAATCCCATTTGAAAAAACTTTCAATGACCATAGATGAAACAGTTTGAGCAACAGTATAAAGTAATATTGAATTATAACCCAACTAACAAAATAAACATACATGAATCCCAACTGAGAAAAACAAATTAGTGAATAAATGAGTAAGTAAATAAATGGAAAGTTGGCTAATTTTCTGTACAAAAGAATTCCAAATAACTATTGTGGATATTTTGCCTTCAAAAAGATAAAGCATGACTCCCATTCCTTGAGCGTGAGCTGCTCATAGAGACTTACTTCCAAAGCACAGAATATGGAAACTGGAGAAATGAGTACACTTACAGTGAAGAAACATGACAAACACTATGTACCCCAGATGGGCAAGGTTAGTAGCAACATTAATGAGTCAGGTCCATAGCATGTGCCCTTGATATGGTATAATGAGAGTGGCACTTCACCTTTCTTATTCTTCCTCCGCAAAACACGTAACCTCACTCTAATAATGAGAAAAATATCAAGCAAACCACAATCAAGGAACATTAAACACAATACTTGATCAATAAGTGATATAGACTTCTGCCCCCTTTTCAATTTCATATGTTGAAGCCCTAACCCCCAATACGACTGTATTTAGAGAAAGGAACTTTGGGAGCTAATTAAGGATGAATGACGTTATAAGGGCAAGGCTTTAATCTGATAAGACTGTGAGCTTCTAAGCAGATGAAGAGAGAGGGGCTCTCTCTGTCTCTTCACTATACGAAAAAACAGTACCTGTATACAAGCAAAAAGTAGAGCTTTTGCCAGAAACTGAATCAGCTGACACCTTGACCTTGTACTTTCCAGCCTCCAGAACTGGGAGAAAATAAATTTATTTTATTTAAGCTACCCAGTTTATGGTATAATATCAGGGCAGTCCTACCCAGCGGACTAATACAGTGCTGCTCAAAACTGTCAAAGTTACAAAAAACATGGAAAATCTGAGAAATTGACTTGATGTTCCACAGCCATGAGAAGTCTAAGGAGTCATGAAAATTAAATGTAATGTCATATCATTTATGGAATTCTAGAAGAGAAAAGGACATTAAATAGGAAATCTGAATGAAGAGTAGCCTTGAGTTAATAATATTATTAAGATTTATATAAATTATTAATTTATAAGTTAGTAATAAGATTTATTAATTGTGACAATTGTACCATGCATTGTATTAAGATGTTAATAATAAGAGAAATCAGGTGTGACTATATGGAAACTCTCTGACTATTGTCACAGCTATGCTTTAAGTCTAACTATTCTAAAATTCAATTTTATTTTAAAAATAAATGGAATATTTTCATTATAATTTGTGTATAAATAAGTGCTTATATAACGTCCGAAATCTGTTATTATTCATGTAATCATTTTATAAACAGTTAGTAAAGAAATCTCAGAAGAGATACTACAATGAGGTTAGAAATTGAAGGCAAATAAGAATCATTTCTGGAAATTTCACAGTACAATGAAAAAACTTCCCATATTTTACTGAAAAAGACATTTCTTATTCTACTTAATTCCCAGTTCAGCACTCTTTCTACCAAACTATAAAACATGTAAAATGCATTCTTTGACATTTCGTATTTTACAATCCACTTAGATAGAAAAAGTAAACATATCTATTTCAGTTGACTTATCTGCAAAATTGTAGGGTTGAGCAGATAAGCACAAATGGAATTTCTAGCTAGAAATACTGTAATGTTTTACATGATTAAAGAACAGCAAATAGAGTGATATAATATGAATTGTTTCATCTTTCACTTTTTCCAATTCCAGCATTTAGTACCTGTAGTGTATTCATAGCAAAAATAATTCTGTACATAGAGACTTCAAAGAAAGATTCTGATATCTCATGGATCTTTTTCATGAAAACTCTCATGATGTATAATAGGAGAAGCCTCTGTGGTTCAAGAATATTTATTTAGGAATTGGGGAAGTTTTGCATAGATAGCTTTGACTTAAAAGAAGGGGCTACATCCTCTATATGCATTTCATTTACAGACAAATGTAAAAGCACTTATTTTATTTATTTTTTTAACTTTAATTTTCATTTTAATGTGCAGGATGTGCAGGTTTGTTACATAGGTAAACATGTGCCATGGTGGTTTGCTGCACCTATAAACTCATCACCGAATTATTAAGCCCAGCATACATTAGCTATATTTCCTAATGCTCTCCCTCCCCCTGCCAGCCCCTAACAGGCCCCAGTGTGTGTTGTTCCCCTCCCTGTGTCCATGTGTTTTCTTTGTTCAGCTCCCACTTTTAAGTGAGAACATAAAAAGCACTAATTTTAAGTGTTATCTCTTCAATATATTTAACATCTAATCATAATTTGTTACAAATATTGCCTGCCTTGCATAAACCTTCATCATAAGATGGTTTAGCTTTATTTAGCTGAATTCTTTAAAAATTGTTTTTAAATTTCCTGGCTCATTTCAATTATAGGTAGGAGCAGATGTCATAGTAAGAGACAGGACTAGCTGGATTTCCTAGGCTGACTAAGAATTCCTAAGCCTAGCTGGGGAAGGTGACCGCACCCACCTTTAAACACGGGGCTTGTAACTAAGCACACACCAGGCCAATCAGGTAGTAAAGAGGGCTCACTAAAATACAAATTAGGCTAAAAACAGGGGGTAAAGAAATAATCAAATCATGTATCGCCTGAGAGCACAGGGGGAGGGACAATGATCGGGATATAAACCCAGGCATTCGAGCCCAATCGGGGTACCCCTTTGGGCCCCCTCCTATTTTATGGGAGCTCTGTTTTCACTCTATTAAATGTTGCAGCTGTACGCTCTTCCCCTCCGTGTTTGTTCTGGCTGGAGCTGAGCTTTTGCTCACCGTCCACCACTGCTGATCGCCGTCGTCGCAGACCCATCACTGACTTCCACCCCTCCGGATCCAGCAGGGTGTCCCCTGAGCTTCTGATCCAGGGAGGCGCCCATTGCTGCTCCGGATAGGGCTAGGGGATCGCCATTGTTCCTGCGCAGCTAAGTGCCCAGGTTAGTCCTAATTGAGCCGAACACTAGACGCTGGGTTCCACAGTTCTCTTCAGTGACCCACGGCTTCTAATAGAGCTATAACACTCACCGCACGGCCCAAGGTTCCATTCCTTGGAATCCCTGAGGCCAAGAACCCCAGGTCAGAGAGCAAGAGGCTTGCCACCATCTTGGGAGCTCTGGGAGCAGAGACCCGCAGGTAACAATACAACCTACCAAAAAGCCCTGCCACCATAGGTCAGTTTCATTTTCTTTTTTTGCATAGTAAATAATTCAATATTTAGAAACGAAATTTCTAAGCACAGTTACTTTAGTTAAATATTCTAATGATCTCCTAGCATTTATGTCTTTGCAAGCAACTCACATTTGATAGTTAGTAACCTCTGGATTAAGATATAAACATCTTAACAGCAAGCTACTGACAGCAACAATTTCAGAAGAATTGATGGCTCCCTCCTTTGACCAAAAAGAAGCAGGAATAAGGTTTTGTAGCTAAGTCCACAAGGCACTGACCCTGGCAATTTTTTCCCAGGCTCAGGGAGGTAAAAATGCTATGTGTTTCATTTTTAAAACAATTCTTCTTGAATTGGAGTGTTGGCTTCATGGTAAATGATGTGGCAAGATCAAAATCACTTCTAAGTGCACAAACAGGAAAGTGACTTTTTAATTTGAATAGTCATCTGTATCCAGAAACATTGCTTAATCAAACACTAACATTCCTCTCCTATAGTATCATATATATGTATACAGAGAAAGAGGGAGGGGAAGAGACAGAAAGAGAGTAAAAGCGCCTAAGGAGACATAAGGGTTGCTCGCTTGCTCTCTCTCTCTCTCCACACACACACACACACACACACACACACATTCATACACACTCATTTTGCAGCCTTTGATGATTAGTAAGGGGAAGAGAAAGAAAAACTACCAGTGAAGAAAGGACTTTTCTTTCCCCAGTTACAGATCTGTCTATCAGAAAAAGAGAACAGATCTGTTCACATTGATAACCTCCCTGTCACTCCTTCTATCTTTTCATGTCAATGTGGATTCTTATGGGCCGATTAGTGTCCCTCAGAAACATATGTTGAAGTCCTCACCATCTCAGATTGTTACCTTATTAGGAAATCGGGATTTTTGCAGTTAATAAAGTTAAGAAGAGGTAATTAGAGATTGGTTCTAATCTAATATGACCGTGTGAAGAAGGTTCACTAATAATTGGTCCCAAAGGAGAACTCACAGCTTGGGGGATGGCAAAGATTATCATTAAGGCAACCACTGAGAATAGGAGTCCAAACACCTCCACCACATTCTGGCTGCACTTTTATCAATTGCCTGAGTCTGGTGAGACAGAACACACTCACACACAACAAGTTAAACGAAGCACATTTATTTCTTACAGAGACAGCAGGGGACAAAGGAAGCCTAGAATCCACTGTAAGTCATTCCTTTAGGCTCAAGAAAGAAGCCCCCCAAGGAAGCAGAGGGATTCTCCATTGCACCATAGCTGAGGAACCCTGAAAGTAGCCCACCCCAGATTACATACCTCAGGGTCCACGGAAGTCACTGGGCATTGCTCGGAAGAACATCTTCCTTCCAGAGGAGAGAGAATCAAAACGTAGCCTCCCCCAGGCAGTTCCTCCTTATCTCAGGATATTGTACTCCCAGTGCATTCTACAATTATTCTGAGAATTACAGGCAGGAATTAAACAGGGGAGAAACTGGTCAGCCAAGGCCATCCAGGGACCATCCAGCGACAGGCATCCTTCTAAGAAGATAAAGACTCCTTGTAATGACAGAGGCACATAGGAGAGATGCCATGTGACAACAGAGGCTTAGATTGAAATGTTGCAGCTGCAAGCCAAAAGATGCAGAGGTTACTGGCAAACCACTCTAAACTAGGCAGTGGCAAGGAAGGAATTGTCCTCTACAAATTTCAGAAGGAATAAGGCCCTGCCAATATCTTGACTGATTTTGGACTATTGATATCTATAACTGTGAAACAATATATTTCTCTTCTTATACCTACTCCTCTCCTCCACATTTGTACTGTTTAGCTATGGTAGCCCTAGGAAACTAATACACTCATTGATGGAGACTTGTTTAATATTGGATAGGATTACAGATCCCAAAACATTAGGAACAGCATTTGCTGTCCCCTGCAGTTTCATCCCACCATGTATTTAGCTAAAGAGACAGAAACCGGGCCGGGCGCGGTGGCTCACGCCTGTAATCCCAGCACTTTGGGAGGCCGAGGCGGGCGGATCACGAGGTCAGGAGATCGAGACCATCCCGGCTAAAACAGTGAAACCCCGTCTCTACTAAAAATACAAAAAATTAGCCGGGCGTAGTGGCGGGCGCCTGTAGTCCCAGCTACTTGGGAGGCTGAGGCAGGAGAATGGCGTGAACCCGGGAGGCGGAGCTTGCAGTGAGCCGAGATCCCGCCACTGCACTCCAGCCTGGGCGACAGAGCGAGACTCCGTCTCAAAAAAAAAAAAAAAAAAAAAAAGAGACAGAAACCGCTTCTTGAAACTGAGACTATGAGCTCTTTTAAGTTGGAGTTCTTTTTTCCTAATTAATTTTTAAGAGAGACGTCAAGCTTTGAGAGCAGTGTGTGTGTGTCTATAAGGATCTTTGCCTGCCGGTGGGTTTGCTAGTGACTTCCTATCATTGATAAAATACTACTTACTTTCATACATGGAGTGTAAATGAAAAAGATTAATTAAATGTAAACCAATCCACAGTGATCCAAATTACTAAGTGATTGAATTACCAGGTAGTGGATTAATATATGGTGACATATAGTATTAGTTATTTCCAAGCAATTTTGTGGTTTTATACATTATAGCAAACTTAAAATTTTGTAAGTGTTTCTCTTCTAGTCTGCACTCATTCATTTAGTGTTTTTTGTTGTTGTTGTTGCTTGTGTTACACTCTAACATTCTGTTGTAGAGTGCCACTGTTACTCATTTTTCAGTCATTATCAGTTAGTATGGGGTTCAGCAATATTAGATTTCCAAATTTTTTAGTAAAAGCATCAATCAAGGAATGAATGAATACATAGAAAATAAGCACATTGCGTTTGTGTGTATTAGGCTTGGTTATCATCATCACATAAAAAAATGTAGTAAGTCAGGTGCGGTGGCTCACGCTTGTAATCCCAGCACTTTGGGAGGCTGAGGCGGGCAGATCACAAGGTCAGGAGTTCAAGACCAGCCTAGCCAATATGGTGAAACCCTGTCTGTACTAAAAATACAAAAATTCGCCAGGCGTGGTGGTGGGTGCCTGTAGTGCCAGCTACTCGGGAGGCTGAGGCAGGAGAATCGATTGAACCTGGGAGGTGGAGCTTGCAGTGAGCCAAGATCACGCCACTGCACTACAGCCTGGGCAACAGAGTAAGACTGTCTCAAAAAAAAAAAAAAAAAAAAAAAGTAGTAGTGTTTGCTTGTTGACAAGATACTGACCAAAGGTTGGGCTTGTATAGATAGAGCTGGGTTTTGGTTGACATTTAAAAGCATGTATCAAACATTGGCAGAAAATTAATTTACTTCTAATTTCCATAATTATTTTATTAATTATCCTCCATGTACTAATCATAGCTATTTTATCTATATTTGACACCCTTGTCTAAGACTTTATTGATCAAAGTAGCTGTGAATTCCAGCTGTAGACTTTACATAGAAATGCCTGGTAGGTGCACAGAATCTAGCTTTGTCATGATGTATCAACATGATGGACCCAGAAGACAAAATAAATGCTGCTTACATACAAATCCAAGAGTCCTTTTTCCTCTACCCCAGGGGCAGGTAGCTATAACCACTACCCCCACCATCACACAGCCCCGGATTTTCATGTTCCATCTTTGGAAGGAAGTAAAGAGGGGAGAGAATATTTGCTGAACACATTTATTTAAAAGAAAATAAACTACCAGAAACAGGTTGCCTAAACCAGACAAAGCTTGTCAATTTTAAGGCTTCTTTACTCCATGCTATCCAGCAAGGTTAGGATTCATGAGAAAAAAAAAATAGTGAAAAAAAAAAAGTAAACCTGATTTTCCATTGCACAATTGTATAACAAGCTGTCAAGTTTTCCACCTGGGGTTCAAACTGAAGCTTCTTTACAGGGTTAACTGCACACATCATCTTCTCTCCCTTAACTATCATCCACTCTTCAGTACTCCACACTGACTGTACCACTCAAACTTTTCTTTATTACTGCCACCAGTGACTTGCATTTGCCAAATCTAGTAGACACTTACTAGTCTTCCTTTATCCCGATTTCACTGTAGCATTTGTCCAAGATTATTCTTTTTGAAAATACTTTTCTCTTGACTTCTCTGACGCTATGTTTTCATATTTTGTTTCTTTTACTTCTCAGGCCATTCCTTCTCATTCTCTTTGTTTCTAATTCTTCCACTTCATCTTGCTTAAGTATCACCACCTCAGACCTTGACTTCTTTCTTTCCTCACCCTCTCTCTAGGTGATTTCATTCATTCCCAGGCCTTCATGGGTCTCTCCAAGCCATGACTCTCTGTTTTTAGGCTATGTTTCTTTCCTGCTCTCCAGATACATAATTCAAACTGATTACTTAATCTTTCCATTCAGCTAGTTCACAGAAAGTAGCATGTCAGTATTTAAACACAACATAATATGCCCAAATATAACATATCCAAACTGAAAATCTTAATCTAGCCCTATTCACAATTCAATTATTCCTATTAGGTTTTCTACATTAATAGATTGTCCTTCCTTCAGTCACTCAAGCTGAAGACATTGAAACATTGTTCAACAGCTGCTTCTGCTTAAACCACTAGATCCAATCCATCATGAAGTCTTGTAAATTATAGCTCAAAGCCGTCTATTTCCCTTCAGCCCTGTGACAATCAAATGAATCCAAGCCAACATCTGCCACAGGGGTTACTGTAAGAATTCCCAAATTGGTATTTTCACATCTACTGTTTACTCTGGAGAAGAATAAAACACAAACTTTCCCATACAGCAGCCAGATTGACATATTTAAAAAAAATCTAAATTGGTTTATTGCTCTCTTTTATGATTAGAGTAAAATCTAAACTCTGTAAATTCTTTATTACTACTCACAAGATGCCTAAGGTCTAGTACAATTCAATTTCTTATATTTCTTATCTATGATCTTGCCACACTGTCCTTTTTTTATTCCTTTATCTAATTTTGACCCCCCCGCAAAGCACTCTTTTCACCTGAAATAATAAACCCTGCTTATCAATCACGTTTACCTATTTTAAATATTAAAAAACACAAAATATACATACAAATAAAAGTGAATAATTGACCACCACTCAACCTAAAAGAGAGCCATTGAAGCCTTTGAAAATGCTTCCCAATTTACACCACTGGCTATACTGTTTCCTGCAGAAAACAACTATCATGTTAGTAATCCTCTTGCATATCATTATATCCTTATCACAAATTTACAAGCCTCTAAAAAATGTCTTGCTTTCATTTGTCATTTTTATCAGGTTTTGTCTGCACTGATGAAGTCATACTTGCATACTCTCCTGTGGATTTTCTAAAAATTTCATAACAGGTTTATGCAATTTTCTTATATAGTATTGGAGTTAATTTGTTTTCCTGATGTATAAACTTGGTTAAACAAATAGCAAAATGTATTTATTCATTCTATTGTTGATCTGTAAAGGAGTTATTCCTAGCATTTTATTTGTAAATATTAATACTAAGACAATTTCTGTTCATGGACTGGTGGGCGTGCACACACATGGATTTCTCTTTGGCAAATACCTAGAAGAGAAATCCTGAGATCATAGAGTATATATATATTTAAAGCACGGAGAATTTACAATATTTGATCATTTATTATCCTAAAATATTTGAAGTAATTTTAAGTGTTTTTATTTATTTTATTTATTTATTTTTTACAGATGGAGTCTCACTCTGTCGCCCAGGCTGGAGTGCAGTGGTGCGATCTCAGCTCACTGCAACCTCCGCCTCCTGGGTTCAAGGGATCCTCCTGCCTCAGCCTCCTGAGTAGCTGGGACTACAAGCGCCTGCCACCATGCCAGGCTAATTTTTGTATTTTTAGTAGAGACGGGGTTTACTCATATTGGCCAGTCTGGTCTTGAACTCCTGACCTTGTGATCTGCCTGCCTCAGCCTCCCAAAGTTCTAGAATTACAGGCGTGATCCACCGCACCCAGATGATTTTAAGTCATTTTATACAGTTCAACTTTATACCTAGTTAACTTGAATGAACAAGTTAAAATCAATTTTAACATAAATATAATAACATATTCTAATTATTTTCTCCTATTCTTTGGCTTGTCTAGTCATGACACATTTTTAGGAAATGTTAATGTCCTCAAATATATCATTATTTACATTTTCATGTGTGTTTTAAAATACTTCTTTAGCACTAGGTCATAAAGTATTATTTTACAATTTAAAATTTTTAATGTTGACATCCCCATTTCGCTCTTTAATTTGTGTATGTGAGATGGAATGAATTTTTGAAATCCATTTTTATTTTTTGATACAAGATAACACATTTTTCCAACATTATTTATGGAATATTCTCTCTTTTTCACTGATCTCTCATATAGCAAGATATTATGTATATCAACTGCTGCTTCAAAATCTTTATTGTATCCACACAAAACTACTTCGATGAGTGATGTTTATAAGATGTCAAAATGTCTGCTAGATACAGTCTCCCAACCATATTTTTCTTTTTCATGCATACAATGTTTAATCTATATGAATAAATATAAAAAATATAATTCATTTGTATAAAATATATCTTAGATGTGGTATATATACATAATTACATAATATATATCATATATAATGTTATAAATGTATATAGAATATGATATATTATATATTATATTCTGCCATATATACACATATAATATATATTCTATACATACAAATTATATATTTTATATTTATTTATGTTATATATTATATAATTCTTTATATATAATGTTATATATAATTGCAATTGCTTCATATCTTAAGTTTTTGCTGTGAATATTATGTTAATCCTTGCTATTTTTTCTAAGTGATAG
The DNA here is from genome assembly GCF_000001405.40 of Homo sapiens. Lineage (NCBI taxonomy): Eukaryota > Metazoa > Chordata > Mammalia > Primates > Hominidae > Homo > Homo sapiens. The sequence continues at coordinate 23,418,515 of NC_000005.10, forward strand.
GACCATACCTTGAAAGTTGTTATAATTTTCTTATTGTCCTTGATAGTCTTGAATTTCACTAAAATGTTTTCCAGTGACAATTTTTCATATTTTTCTTATTTGGCATCTTATGTGCTTTTGTTTCAAGATAATTTATCTCTGTTATTTATTTAAATATTTCCATTTTATTTTTTTTAGATCTTTGAATTTTTTACCCCGTTATTAATTTTTCTACATCTATTCTACTTAATTTTAATTTGTTTTTAATTTATTGAAACCTTTTCTACAAAGAACTTACATTTGTTTTTCTAACCCATAATTTAGTATTCAGATACATTTGCTTCACTATTTTTGCCATCTTGTAAACAAATTTCAACTATACATAATTTTATATATAAACAAGCCCATTTGTAAAATGACTTATATATTTTGCTTTAAATTGATGATATATTTTCATTATTTTATCATCGATGCCTATAATGGAACACTTCTACATCTAGTGGTATCTGTAATCAAATTTTTCCTTTTGATCATTGTTGTTCCTGTTGTTTTGTTTAATATTTTGTTTGTTTTAAATTAGTTTGCCTCCTCAGATGTCTTGTTATTTGAGTATGCAACTACAAAGTGATACCAAAACCCTAGACATCAGAAGAAAACTCTGACTCATTTTCATTTGCTAAAAGGCTAGCAAATATTCCTTGAGACAGAACATTCTCTCCAGCTCCTCAGGTTAAATGGCTTGGTGGGTGAGCTCTGAACTACTCCTGGGGGTTGAAAAGAGAAAGTGCATGGGAGTGAATGCCCCAGGGTAGTTAATCACCGAACTGTTTACTCAACACTTGAACAGAGCAAGACTGCTGAGTTACTGGTCTGGAATAAAAGCTTTTGCTAGTGTTGCTGATTTATGCAATTTGGTGTGAGCATGTGTTTTTCCAGGGAGATGTATTCTTTTATTCTAATTTGTCAAAAAATTCTTCCTGGATACCTCTGCTCCAGATTAAATCAACATCTTTCAGAACCAACAAATTCCCAATGCTGTGTTGCCACAATTTTTGCTATTGTTGTTTAACAATAAATTCAAATTTGTAAATTCCCAATGCTGTGTTGGCCATTTAGGGCCAAGCCATGTGGCAAAACCTATGGGAAGAAGATGACCTCCTCTGACCAAATGTTATGTTTAATAGTTGATTTCATTTGAGAGGAACTGTAACCTTGTAAATTTACCATCTTGCAGAAATTTAAAAATCTCAGCTTTGTGTTACTGTTATGATGATCGTGTCAGTCTTGTACTTTAAGTTAGTATATTTCCATTTCTTGTGAAAAATAGAAATTATAATAAGGTCTGTAGAATGACCACTTTTTTTCTTTCATATGCCCCTCATTTTAGCTAGTGCTTAAGTGCTAGATAGTGGGCTATTTAATTAATTAATTATTGATTGAGGAAAAACAACCCTTGGGGTATTATCTATTCATATTTATATAAAATAAATGCTGCATTTAAATATTTTATTATGCATTTTCTCCAGTTACTGACTGGAGAACAATCTGTTCTTAAAAGCGAGACAATCTCTGATGAATGCTAGAGATCTGGTGTAGCAGGATGAACCACAGACAAAACCTCTCAGACACTGAGTTGTAGAAGGAAGGGCTTTATTCAGCTGGGAGCATCGGCAAGCTACTGCCTTAAAATCCGAGCTCCCCGAGTGCACAATTTCTGTCCCTTTTAAGGGCTCACAACACTAAAGATTTCACATGAAAGGGTCGTGATTGATTTGAGCAAGCAAAGGGTACATGACAGGGGCTCATGCACTGGTGGTCAGAGAGAAACAGAACAGGGCAGGGAGTTTCACAATGTTCTTCTATACAGTGTCTGGAATCTCTGAATAACATCAGTTTCTAGGTTAGGAGTTGATTTTTAACTACTGGGTGTAGGCCAGGCAGTCCCAGGCCTGGTTTTGGGCCTCGTGCGGGGCTGCCTGTCTTTGATTTCACTTCCTTGTTTTTTTCTTAAAACAGGTACTGAGTATAAAACAATATAAAACAATATGAGAGGGTCTCTCTCTTCCCTCATTGGCATACATTGTTATTAGCTTTTTGTATTTTTTAATAATGATTTTACAAATAGTTAAATGTAAACTATTGTATATGTTTATAGTCACTACTGGACAGTGAGCCTATTAAAGTCAGTGTTCTTCTCTATTAAACAAATGTGGAAATTAATATCTAATGTTTACTCAAACTTTTTCATGTTCCACCTACATTTATACTTGAGATGATACCAACTCTAGCTGCCTTCAAAGAAAGCATGTTCTGCCAGGGTAGAGAACTATGAAAACAAAGCCCATAAATAACAAATGTTGAGAACTGAAGATCACTTCAATGGAAACAAATTTAACTGCAGATAACAGAAAGGTCTGCCTAGGTAGAACATTTTTAGGAAGATTTAACTGAACCTAAATATTTAGCTAGTCAAACAGCACTATAGGGAGAAAAATCTACTTACATATTAAGAAGCACATTAGGCATAAATTGAAAATTAAATTAGAATCAAAAGCTAAACTGGAAAGATCCAAAATTATACATGATAGTTTCCAAAACTCTATTCTGTTTCAGCCTACAGCATGGTGTTATGTGATTACTTTTTTTTTTTTTAGTATTATTAGAACCAAATACTACATTAAGTAAATGATATAAAAGCAAATCTAGATTTAAAAAATAAATCACAAAAGGTCCTAATTAAAAATGTATTTCCTAGAGAACCACATTTTGGAAGAGGATTCTTTAGTGAAATAGAGTAGCATGCCAGATTTATTTCTATGCTTCAAAAATATAACCACCAAAAATCAAACTACTTATACTCAGTTTTAGGGCCTTAAGAAAAATAATTATTATAACTGCAAAATTACATATGGAGTTACTGTCAGGTCTCTGAGCCCAAGCTAAGCCATCATATCCCCTGTGACCTGCCCATATACATCCAGATGGCCTGAAGCAACTGAAGCATCACAAAAGAAGTGAAAACGGCCAGTTCCTGCCTTAACTGATGATGTTACCTTGTGAAATTCCTTCTCCTGGCTCAGAAGCTCCCCCACTGAGCACCTTGTGACTCCTGCCCCTGCCGGCCACAAAACAACCCGTTTGATTGTAATTTTCCACTGCCTACCCAAATCCTATAAAACGGCCCCACCCTTATCTCCCTTCGCTGACTCTCTTTTTGGACTCAGCCCACCTGCACCCAGGTGATTGAAAAGCTTTATTGCTCACACAAAGCCTGTTTGGTGGTCTCTTCACATGGACGCGTATGACAGTTACAAAATAAAATACATATTTAAATAGAAATGTATGTCTAATAGCTAACAGTTCTCTGTTCTCTCTGATATCTGGCTTTTTTTTTTTTTTTGCCTTTTAAATAACTGGTTGGGGCAGGAGAGAGGTACAGATCAGAAAAGCACACTCTGACATCAGTCTCTGCCATCACTCCAGCTTTTCTCTCAATGAGAACTATCACAGACATTAGAAGACAAGCGTTATATTGCTTTGCTTGAAGGCTGAACAGAAGGTGAAGGACTGAAAACACTGCTCTTGCTTCTGGGAAGAAAATGTCCCACAAAACTCCTGCTTTTATGAAGCATAGCCTCTATTAAAGAGATACAAATAATTAAATCAGAAAATAAATATATAATAAGTCTGGAAGCCAAAGGGTTTAGGAAGAAGGATAATCAAGGGCAAGGGGAAAGAAAGTGATGAGGGAATGAAGTGCGATTTAAGATGGGGTGGTTAGAGAGAGCCTCTCTGCTACTGTTATGTTGGACAAAGGCAAAAAAATAAAATGACGGAACAATGCATAATGGCAGAAACAATTCCAGGCAGTGGGAGCAGCAAGAGAATACTCCAAAGCAGGGATGCTGTTGGTGCATTGAGGAATATTATTAAAGCCGGTATAACTGGAGCAAAAGAATGGAGCAAGAGAGCTATATGAGAAGAGTACAGTCAGGAGGAGTGTGTGCTTGTGGGTACAAGTAGAAGGTATCACATAGGGCCATGAGCCCTAAAAAACATCCAAAGGATCACCTGTGAGACAGGAAACAGAGGAGTGTGTTTGTATTATTTATAGTTTATAAAATAATAATTAGCATGACTGTCAGAAAGAGAATTGGCTATTGCTGGGATGAGGCAGCAGATAATAAATCCTGTTCCACCTCTGAGATGGAGAAGCTGGCATCTATCAAGACTCACTCCTCTCTCCATCAGCAGCTGCAAGTAAGTAGGTGGTTGGCATAAGGGCAAGGTGACCACACCCTGATCGAGTGGCTGTGGGCAGTCATATGGACTGTGTGGAATGATGCTGGTGAAATACCTGAAAGTCACAGTTGTATGCAGATTTGGTGCAAGTCATCCAGGAGATGGGTATGCAACAGGCTGTATTTGACCTGAATACCCGGAGCCAGCTGATGGACGTTTCACCTCCCATATGAAGGATCTCATGTTGGGCTCTGTGCGCCCGAGCACTTTTGTCTCTCCAGTTACTGTCCTCTCCCGTATGTAGGGCACCACATATGTAAAGTGACCACTGATATGGTGGCTCTCAGGGAAGCAGAAGGCTGTTGGCAGGACCAAGGGGTCTATGCCTTAAAGAAGGGGAAGATGCCTTGCCTGCAGGGCCACCCCACCATGGGTAAAAAGGGAGCCCCAACGAGTGACATGCTCACAGATGTGGATAGATTTGGTTTTGGCTGGGGTTGACTAAGAAAATCAATAAGCAGCCCAATGAAGTACTCTTCACTTTATGGAGACAGCTGTCTGTGGACCAGAAATTTCAGAAAATGCCCAGGGGGGAGAAAGACATTGCTGTGTGACCTGGTCCTGCCTGGATGCTTCAACTCAAAGACTACTTGCTGCAGCCAGGAGGAAATGTAGAGCCTTTTCTACTTGATTAGGGAAGTGGCTGAGGTGCCCGGGTTTGGGGGACACCAGATGACCGGAGGCAACATGTGGACTTAGCAATCCACTAGTCCCTGCACCCAAATAATTTTCTGGGCAAAGCTGCATACATAGACAGTTATGAAAGCTGGTCAATGAAAGTGAAACCTGTATTTTTGAACCTTGGCATAGGCTGTTTGGCTTCATGCTTCCATACTGTGTATGTCTCTTCCATACCTGAATACATTCTGGGAGTTGGATATTTTACATGGCTTGGCAGCTGTGCCATCTGTCACGGATTTGATGGACCATTTGACTACAGAATTGGGATGGTGCCGCTATGTGGTAGATTTGGCCAATGCATTCTTCTCAATCGACATTGCTCTAGAGAGCCAGGAATGGTTTGCCTTCATGGGAGGGCAACAATGGATTTTCACAGTGTTGCTGCGGGGCTGTGTGCATAGTTTCACCACGTGTTGTGGTCTTGCTAATGATATTATGCTAACTTCTGATTCTCTTGCCGATTTAGAAGTGGCAGTGCTCCTTTTGCCTAGAATTAAGATGATGCAGCTGAGACATCCTTCCTGACAGCCAAGCAGGCTATTCAGCAGGGCCAAGCCTTACAGGTAGTTGACCAGGGGCACCTGTTTGAGCTGGATGTGCACACGACCACAGATGGTTTTGGTTGGGGCCTGTGGCAGTGCATGAAGCACTCGAGAATGCCAGTTGGCTTTTTGTCCCAACTGTGGGAGTGAGAAGAGCTCTGGTATTCACCAATAGAGAAGCAGTTAGTAACTTCATATGCTGCCCTTTAGGCTCATAAGAGCATGGCAAGATGGGCTACAGTCATTATGAGGATGACTTACCCAATAGTGGGGTGGATACATCCATAGGTAATGAACCCCTGGATTCGGACAGCACAGACATCCACTTTAGCAAAGTGGGGCGATTACTGAGAACAGTGGAGTATGCTGAGTTCAAGTCCTTTAGCACCAGAGTTGCAAGAAGTTTGGGACCTGTAGTCCTAATGCAAGAGAAGGCCATTGGGCCTGAGGCATCCTTAGAGCCTGAGCCATCGCCATTTAAGAAAGGGTGTCCCTCCATTCCTGATGGGGCATGGTACACAGATGGGTCCAGCCAAGGTCCTACTGCTGCCTGAACCACTGTTGCAGTCCAACCTAGTACTGACACCATATGGTTTGAAACCAGGTGTGGACAAAGTAGCCAATTGGCTAAATTTAGAGCAGTATGGATGGTGATCACCAAGGAGGTTAACTTGGAAGTTACAGAATTGACTAGTTAGTCACTGGCCCATATAGGGCCAACCCATGTGGCAAAACCTATGGGAAGAAGGATGACCTCCTCCAACCAGCTATGGGAATGCACTGTAACCTGTTGCTTCCTGCCCCAATGTCCCTAAGGGCAGGGGAACAAAAAACCTGGCTTAATGTATAAAGTAACATTGGGGTAATGTAACCATGGGGTGGTTGCCCACATGTGTTGGACCTGTGTGTCAGGGGCCTGTGTGCCAAGCCTCTGTATCAGACCTGTGTGCCAAGACCTATAAGTCAAGCCTGTGTATCAGGCTGGTGTTCCCAGAGCTTATGTGTCAGGCTTATGTGTTAAGTCTGTGTGTCAGGCCTGTGTGTATGTATCAGGCCTGTGTGCCCAGAGCCTATTTGTTAGGCTTACGTTTCCAGCCTTTGTTGGACCTGTGTGCCCAAAAGCTATGTATAAGGCCTATATGTCAGACCTGTGTGTCCAAGGCCTATGTCTCCCTCAGCCTAGGAAGTGGAGTGTAAGGAAAATGGATGTACTGCCGTCCAGAATAGGCCAAGGCAGACATCTGGTCCAGCATGACTCAGGAAGTTTGGAGCACAGGTACACAATGCCACATATTAGGTAACCACACCACACGAGGTGCATTAAGTAACCACTCACGTGCACTCGTGCTTGGCTCAGAGTCACTATTGTCTGTAAAAGGTGTAATTACCCTGCTAATGCTGTACATACAGTTTGCATGTGTCCATGGATTGCTTGTGCCCATGGCTTGTTTGCACCCACAGCTTGCTGCCATTCATGGCTCCCTTGCACCCACAGAGAGAGTAAAAGCCATGTTGAAACTGTTTACGATTCCTAGAGTGTTTTTCCAGCTATCTGCCACTTGCCCAGAGACCCCCCTTGGACCTCAGTGACAACCTGACATAAGGAATTGGCTCATATAATTATGGAGGCTGACAGATCCCAAGATCTGCAGTCAGCAAGGTGGAGACCCAACTGAGCCAATGGCATAAGTTTCAGTCCGAAAGCCATTAGAACTGAGACCTAGAGGGAAGATTCAATGCTTCAGTTCACACCTGAGAGCAGGAAAAACATAATGTCTCAGCTGAAAGGCAGTCAGGCAGGAGGAGTTCCTTCTTACTCCCGGAAGGATCAGTTTTTTTGTTTTATTCAGACATTCAACTGAATTGATGAAGCCCATCGGTCCATTAAGGAGGCCAATATACTTCCCTCACTCTATAGATTCAAATGTTAACTTCACTCCGAAACACCCTTAAAGACACATCCAGAAAATTGAGTGTAGGACCAAATGGCACCTTGTAGCCCAGTCAAGTTGACAAACACAATTAACCATCATAATGAGTGTATCATAAAATGACTTATTTTCCTCCAAAAATTAATTTTTTGATTTGCAGCCAAGAGGTCAGTAGAAGAGATGTGATAACAATTAACAACAGGCAAGATCAATCTTGTAGTGATAAATTAGCTAACTATAAAAAATATGCTGATAACATGCATTTAGCATTACTCATTTCATTATAGAAAAAATAGTCATAAAGGTCCACATCTTTTCCTAGGGAACAAAAATATTAAGGAGTTTTTGGTAGCAAGGCTTTAAGATAGCCCCATGTGATTCTTACCTCCTGGTACTCATGACCTTGTGCAGTATCCCGCATTACATCTGGGACTGTCTGTGTGACCAGTGGAACACAACAGAAGTGATTGCATATCACTTCTGAGACCAGGTCATATAAGCTATTAGGTCTTCTCTCATTCAACAACTGTGAGTGAAAACAGAGGAGCTTTTAATAAATGGTTTGTAGTAACAGGGTGACATTTGAGGAGGCTGCTTAAGGGGAAACTGTGACTTAAAATACCAAGAAACAAATAGATTAAAGTTCCCCTTGGAAATCCAGACACCTGAAGAGATTTGAGAGAAAGTCCTAATTGTAGCTAGAATCAGATCGGTGAGTTTCATCTCTACCCAATCAATACAGTTCACAGCTATAACTAAATATTTCTTCTCTTACAGTGCTCTAGTTCCTACTTGGTATAAATATTTGTCTGTGAAGTGCAATGATTTAAATGTGTCCCCTAAATGTTATGTGTTGGAAATTTAATCCCCAAGGCAACAGTTTTGAGAGGTAACACGTTTGGGAGTTGATTAGCCCATGAGGCCACTGCCCACATGAAAAGATTAATCGTGTTATTGTGGGAGTTGAGTTCCTAATGAATGAATTTGGGCGCCTTCCTCTTTTGTTCTCATCTCACCTGCAAAAATTCTTGTGTTTCTGCCTTCCACCATGGAATGATATAGTAAGAAGCCCCTAGCCAGATATGGGCACCTCGATCTTGGACTTCTCAGCCTCCAGAACCGCACAAAATAACTTTCTGTTCTTTATAAATTAACCAATCTCAGCTATTCGGTTGTAGCAGCAAAAAACAGATTAAGACAAGGAGAAAGTTCTTTCTTCTCTTGCTGCTGATGCAATTCCAGCACTGCTCAGCTTAAGAGGCAAGAATGAGCCTGTCCTTCCTACCTGTTTTGTTTTCCAAAGTTGGGAATGTCCATCAACTGACTCCTTACCTTTACATTTTTGCCCTTTTTGGCAATTGTGATGGATATGAGTGTGGAGGACTAGCATGTGCAAGATTTTTCTTCTTGCCTGGATGCCTTAATGTATTTACCTTAAAATTTTGGAAGAAAATAAAGATTGAAACCAGATTAAAAGCACATGTTTATAAATAATTTAGGCATACATACACAAATACTGTGAACAATGAATGGGTTTTCAAACAACTTAATTTTGCAAAGGAGATGGTAAGAAGTTGAAAAGCCTTTATGTATATACAAGCCGCATTTCCTCTTTCCCAAGCTCTTGTTATCTGTTTCTGTGCGTTTTCACTGACTGTTAAAGGCAACATGTTTTTCCCTCTCTGTCTGGGTATTCTGTATCTGTGTGCCATCTGCCCTGTCTGACATTATTTCTGGATAAATATACTCTTTGTTTTAGTGAGTTCCCTACCTTATTTCAGTGGTAGAGTCCAGTTCTGCTTGGGCTCCATGATTTAAAAAGCCTGCCTTATGCAGTGTTATGATACTTCTTCTCTAACATCAATCTGCATTCTGCCATCCACAGCCCAGGGAAACTGCAGTAGAGTAATTAGCAGTATCCGAATTACAATTTTACCAAGAAGGCACAAAGGGGCAAGAGCCGAGGGCAACAAGAGGATGATTAAGTTTTATCAGTAGTTTTTAAACTTTCCTTTTCTACTGTTCATAAATACATTTAGATTATCAAGGACATTTACTTAAAAGAAATACAAATCAGTTCTTATCTTACCAATTAAAACAATTTTTTAAAAATTTTGATCTTTGAAGATGTCATTTTTTCTTTAGTAAGCAGTAAAGCTTTGTACCCAGAAATGTTCCTCATCAATGCAATTTGATAACATCCAGTGAATTAAGACACCAAAGTACTTAGCATGATTAAACTGCTGATAAATGTGTATTCTTGAATTCATCAAGAAGCATTGTCATATGATATTATAGATTTTTTTTTTCTCAACTTCATGTGGACTGTTTTGGTTACTTTTTTGTTTTAATTCTGTTAAAAGGCAGCTAACTAAATATTGAACTTAAAATGAGAATCATTTTTTTCCAAACAAATTTAAGTAAATAACTTGTATTAATTTACTTTGCTTATGAGAGAACTACTCAAGACAAAAGTAGATAGTAGTCTTGAATTTATAAGTAATTCAACTTTCTTTTATCCAGAATGCACTCTCTTTGGAAGGTGTTGCATTTAGTTGACTTGCTTTTGTTACATACGTGTCATACATTTGCTATTTTTGTTATTTTTGCTCCAATATATATTAAAATTTTTTTTAATTTAAATCCATTTATAGGATTTACAATGAAACTCTAGAGTATTTTAACCTTTTTGTCCTGCTGGAGAAAAAAATAGTACATTATGTGTTTTCTTATATACCCACAAACCAGTGGGTTCAGAAATATTCAATTATACCTGTGAAGAGAAAATAGAAAAAAAAAAGGGAAATATGTGTAGTAAAAATTTGGATGAGCAGACTTTTAAAAACAGCATATTAAATTGGAGAAGAACAACTAAAATGACTGAGTCCCAGACTATTTAGTTTAGCTATTTGCATGCAAAAGTAATAGAGCATTAACAAACTATTGTGCAATCTGGTGTAATTGCTCTACCCATGCAACCCTCATATACCGTGGATATACTTGTGTACAAAATAGCTATGATACCAGCATAACAGAGAAATAAAACTTTAAAGCTTGGTTTTATGTGGTAGGGAAGAGGAATCAAAGATATTATAGAACTCAGGTAGGGTTTTTACTGTCTTGTCTTCTTTTGGGAGCTACCAGCTGCTACACTCACACAAATAGATTAGTTGAAAAATATATTAAAATGTACAAATTATATCTCTACGGTGAAATTAATGACTACTTCATTCACCATAAAAGATAATTTTACAAAGGAAATACTGCATCATTAAAGTTAGCATTTATGAAACCCAAATGTGCACAATAAAATGACAGCAGCTTGCTCAAAACAGTGTTATATCCTGCTAAAGTGTTTATCTTTTAAAAGAAAGAGCAACGATACAATTCCACTCTTCTAAGGAGGACACAAAGGGTCCTGCTAAATTCACTTATCTTGTTTTAGGGTACAAGGATTTTAGTGATCTTTAAAATCTTAAAACAGAGCACATTTTTATTTTATTGTTGTATTGTGTGATACCAAAATTATTCATTAAAGGATTGTTAATGATATGGTAGATATACTAAAATAGTTTAATTGTTAGACAAATTGGGATAATTACATACAGATGATTTAATTAATGAGATATTAAAATACACTGATACATTTACAAAATTGTGAAGTCTCACTGAGTTCAGAACTAGACTTGAATCACTATTCTATTTCAAAACTAATTAAATCAGCTGTAGTGAACCATCTCCAAGTCAATGCTTTCAACATTGAAGGCATTTCTGTCACAAAGTATAGCAGTTTTAAAGCCACTTTGCCAAGAATATTGGAATGGTAAATGAGGATAATCTTTCGCTTCCTATCAGTGCTCTAAATACAAGGAAAATTGCGGCGTCATACCTACTTATGATTATAATAAACTTCTGCATAGGGCCAAGTGATTCTTCCATTGGTTTCAGAGAGCCAGCACCGATTCTTACATGTCCTCTTGCCAGTGCATTAGTCATATAAATAACAAGGATAAATAGTGCTTTTTATATACTTATGTTTTCCTTTCTATTGTGGGGGATGATGAAATTTAAATTTATCAAGGATTTTGACTCTTAAGAAAAGGAGATAGTACCCAACTATCAGTAGATTGAGTAATGTGAAACATATTTGATTACCAATTCAAAGAAGAAACATGAAGATTGCAATACAAAAAAGTGATTACACTTTGATGTGCTGTTTGTCTGTAAATGTTCTAGGTTATGCTTAATATCATAACCTAACTTTTGCTGTGCAGAATAACTTCTTTCTATTATTAATACGATGAAGAAGCTATGCATGCATTGAATGCACTTTTCTTGGAAATATGTACCAAATGATACAGGTATTATGGGTGCAGAAGCAGGAATTAAGGAAACCTGATAATTTAATGAGGAAGGTGACTGTAGTCAGATGAGAACTCACTATATCTGAAAAGTTTCATTGCTGATGAACTATGGCAAAATGGCTTCTTGGTATATACCGAGACACGTAGTGGTAGGCTTTATTTCCATTACACTTCATTTCATTTCTTTCTTTCTTTTTTTTTTTTTTTTGAGACAGAGTCTTGCTCTGTTGCCCAGCTTGGAGTGCAGTGGTGCGATCTTGGCTCACTGCAACCTGTGCCTCCTGGGTTCAAGAAATTCTCCTGCCTTAGCTTCCCAAGTAGCTAGGATTACAGGTGTGTGCCACCATGTCCAGCTAATTTTTTAACTGTAGTAGAGACTAAAATGAGGTTTCACCATCTTACCAAGGCTGATATCAAACTCCTGGCCTAAAGCATCCACCCACCTCTGCCTCCCAAAGTGCTGGGATTACAGGGTGAGTCACTGTGCTCAGCCTGCTTCATCTCTTTAAAAAACAGATTTTATAGAGCTTACAAAACTACATGCAGTCGCCATGAAATAAAATAGTTACAAAATTAGTAAAGAAAAAATTAAAAATGAGTAAAAAGAAAGCAGAGGTTCATGTGCATGGAGCAATATACATTTTAAATGTATACTCTGTTAATGAAAGCATGTGTCAAAATCAGATCTGATCATTCTGGTGAGTATCCAAAGAAAAAATAAAAAATAAGGCTTTTACAAATTTAGCACAGTATGTTTTTTCATGTGAAGTGCTGAATGAAAACAGTAAAATGCTTCTCTTAATGTGCAAGACTAGTTTCAAATAGCAATGCGATACAAATTGAAGGTACAATACTGTTAAGCCAATGACCAAAAAAAAAGTTTAATATCATACTTCAGTGTCTAATGGCTGGCATAATTCAACTTTAAGATGAAATATCTACAAAAGGATTATAATTAATATTTTGGAAGTAATTATTATTGCCACCCCTTTCAACTCTTGCTCCTTAGAAACCTTTCATAGTCATTGACATTAGATAGTTCTGTTATATCCTTGGAAAATACATTTGTTATTGAAAAATTTGGGTTAAGAATTAAGAACATTTATCTATAGAAACTTAAGTATGAAAGGTATTGTTAAGTGGCAGATAAAATTGATGTAATGTAACTTAACTGACTAGTTTTCTAAGTTCCTCTATGACTTTAGAACTATCTTGGCTGGGCTGGGCACGGTGGCTCAAGCCTGTAATCCTAGCACTTTGGAAGGCCGAGGCAGGAGGATCACTTGAGGTCGGGAGTTCAAAACCAGCCTGGTGTGGTGGCACGCGCCTGTAATCCCAGCTACTTAGGAGGCTGAGGCAGGAGAATTGCTTGAACCCGGGAGGTGGAAGTTGCAGTGAGTGGAGATCTCACCAACGCACTCCAGCCTGGGAGACAGAATGAGACTCTGTCTCACATCAACAACAAAAAAATTATCGTGGCTGGCAGACTAGGAGGTGTAGCACTATTAATGCAACTTCTCCAAAATGACTACTAGTGCAGCGAGGACTTCATATTGATTTACCCCATCAAATAATTATACATCTTAAATGATAGAAGCTTTAAGGCATTAATAAAATGCTATGAGGTTTTATGGGTTTTATCACATTTTATTACAGCATAACTGTATATTGTAACAGATGTCTTCAGCATTTAAAATTTTTATATTTTGTATTAATCTTCATATTTATAATATTTTACTAAGTGAAATGTTTGTAATAATGAGTCTTTTAAAATTTCATATCAATTACCTTTATACCTTAGTAAGTTGTTTTGAAATTTCATATCAATTATCATTATACATTAGAAAGTTATACATTTATTGCATACTACTCTGTTTTTTATGAAATATGTCATTATTTTATATTTTCACCTTACAGAAAAGTTGCAAGATTAGTACAAGAATCTCCAAGATACTCTTACCTAAATTTACTAGCTGCTTATATTTTTGTCTCACTTGTTTTATCATCCCCTCTCTCTCTCTGTGTTTTGTTCTATTTATCTATTTATTTATACATATACGTATATTATTTTTCTTCTTAAATCATTTGAGAGTAAGTTGGAGATAGTGTTACCCTTAACCCCTAAATACTTCAGTGTGCTCAGCCTAAGAGTAAGCTTATTATCTTAAATAGCTACAGTATAGTTAACAAAATCAGAAACTAAAAAATTATCTGTACTCAATATTCAAATTTCAACAATTTGTCAATAAACAGTCATTTGTAGATATTTTTCTCCAGCCGGAATCCAAATATATTGTTTCCAAGTTTCTCTAGTCTCTTTAAGTTTTGTATAACTACATATACAAATATATATGAACTTATTACATGTACATTCTTTAAAGGTTTTGCATTTTCATGTAAGTCAGACTATTTTCTATATATGAAAACTTTATAAGAATATTGTTTTTGCCAAACACTCTGAGATAAAAATATGTGAACTTTTCATTTATGTAATAAAATCTGGCAAATATTATAGAGGAAACAGTAATGACTAAATCATTATTCTTATCTTTGACACAGTTCAGATTCTACTAATAATATTTGCATACATCAAGTGTTAAACACTAGGCTAAGTGGTCTTTGATATATTGTCTCACCCTTTGAATAACGTAAATAAGCAACCTGGTATACAGTGAGGATACAAATTAGTAACTTGAAGTGTGTATAGTTGATAGCTATTGAAACTGAAATTTGAATTCAGGTTTTTAGAATTCCAATTAAGCAAATGTGTGTAATATATAATATATAATATAAAATAACAAGGGTCAGAAATAAATCCAGATGAAGTTCCAGGAGTGAGAGATCACACCAATTTTTAATATGAGAAATGAATGAGAATTTAGGCTTTGAATGTAGTTGTGCATAAGTATACATAAATACACATGCTCATCAGAAGCAATAGTTCAGAATGTGATTCATTCCATCCCTCAATCATGTGCTGACTTTAATGGTTATATATCTGTGTCTCATTAAGAAAATGTTCATTTTTCTTGAAAGAATAATTTCTAATATCTACTTCCAGAAAAATCATGTGTGTGTTGGTGGGGATGCTACTCACAAATTTGGGATAGATTTATTCCTTAAGTAAGAGGGGTATATTTCTTTTCTTTTGCTGCAAAACAAATTTCCACAGATTTAATAACTTCAAACAACACCCATTCATTAGCTCACAGTCCTGCAGGTCACAAGTCTGGGTGACCTCAACTGAATTCTATGTTGGGGTTATCACAAAGCTGAAATTATGGTGTTGATCAGGCTAAACTTTTATCTAGAGACATTGGAAAAGAATCCACTTCCAGATTCTTTCAGATCAATGGCAGAATCCAGTTCTATGCAGTTGGAGATCTAAAGGTTCCACTTTCCTTGTTGGCTCTCTGCCAGCAGTGACCACCTGTACTTCTCACGTCACCTTCTCTGTCTTCAAAGTCCACAACCATGTGTTTTGTCTTTCTCACACTTTAATCTTTCTGAATTCCTCTTCTGCTACCAGCTGGCAACTCTGCTTTTCAAATGCGCGTGTGATTACATTGGACCATGGTCATTACCCGATCATAAGTGTCAACTGATTAGTACACTTAATTACATTCTCTAAGTCCCTGTGGCCTTGTATGTTAACATATTCAATAGCGTGATTTTCGTTATATTGGCATTCCCAATAATAATGATAAAAAATGTGGTGGGGGCCATTTTTTGAATTTTGCTTACCTCATAGAAGATAGTAAAATACGTCCGAGACATATCTGAATTTAGCCCTATTTTGTCACATCAGCACTACCACTTTCAGAGTGACCCTGAATATTTGGGATGAGTATCCTTGTAATCTGCACATTTAAGGTCTTTTTTTCAGTAAGAATTCTACTTGACATCACTGTAATTTTTGATGTTATTGATAAACTATATAAATTTCTTCTCTCTTGGTTTTCACAAAACCATTATTTTTTTGCTAGCTTAATTATACCTTTGGCCACTTATGAGTCTATTTTTCTTTGTTGTTGCTTCTGATGTATTTTGTTTTGTTTTGTTTTTTCTTTACCAGCTGTGAAATATCCACCAAGCTTTGGATTACAATGTTTTCTCATAATATATTTTATTCCTATTGAATATTTACTCTCATGGATTCCATTATCTATTTGCAAATATATTTCCAATACTGATTCCCACTTTGCTATGTAGTCTTCCACTTGTATTTGTTGATCACAAATAAATAGCACGTAAAAGCCAGGCGCGGTGGCTCATGCCTGTAATCCCAGCACTTTGGGAGGCCGAGGCGGGCGGATCACGAGGTCAGAAGATCCTGACTAACAGGGTGAAACCCTGTCTCTACTAAAAATACAAAAAATTAGCCAGGCGTGGTGGCGGGTGCCTGTAGTTCCAGCTACTTGGGAGGCTGAGGCAGGAGAGTGGCGTGAACCCAGGAGGCGGAGCTTGCAGTGAGCCGAGATCACGCCACTGCATTCCAGCCTGGGCGACAGAGCAAGACTCTGTCTCAAAAAAAAAAAAAAAAAAAAAAAAAAGCACATAAAATGTGATATTCTTCTAATGCAACAGAAAATAGACTTTCAGCACTGAGAGAAAATAGAAAAATTTTGCTCATACTCATTACATTAAGTATTCTTGGCAAATTAAAAAAATACATCAAACAGTATATTGTTAAATTGCAAAATATCTATACTAAATAATCAAAGGGTTATATCAATATTTTTATAATTCATGTCACAGTGGTACTTAAACTTTTATATTGTATTTTAAGTTATTTTGAAGCTGGCACAATAGATTCTCTGGGTTTATAAGACTACTGGACCTGGACCTGGAGAACATTGGTCAATGACACGTCTCAGATGAAACGCTCTCCAAGAAGCTTCTTTTAGCCCAAGAGAGCAACCTTGCCCAAAGTCATGCCAGTTTTTAGGCAACTGCCCATATCCAATGACTGGAGAATGAAAAGATATAAACTCCCAGCATATTTGCCTTAAGACAGAACAATTATGATGGGTAATTCATACTCCACAGCTGCCTGTGATGAGCTGTGGTCTTGGCTTCAAATGCAGTCGTGTGCCATGTAACCAAGTTTCAGTAAATGACTGACTGCATGTAGGATGGTGGTCCCCTAAGATTATAATGGAGCTGAAAAATTCCTATCACCTAGTAGCATCATAGTCCTTGTAACATCACAGTGCAATGAATTACTCTTATGTTTGTGGTGATGTTGCTGTACAAAAAACCTACTGAACTGCCAGGCATATAAAAGTATATAGTACTTACAATTATGTACAATACTTAATAGTTGATATGATAAGAACTAACTATACTATTGGTTTATGTATTTAATATACTATACATTTCATTGTTATTTTAGGGTATAAATAAGTTAACTATAAAACAGCCTCAGGCAGGTCCTTCAGGAAGTATTTCAGAAGATATTTTTATCATAGGAGATAATCATTACATGCTTGTTATTGTGACTGAAGACCTTTTAGTGGGGCAAGATATGGAGGTAAAAGGCAGTAATATTGAAGAGCCTGACCCAGTGTAGGGCAAGGTTAATGTGTGTGTGTTTCTTAGTTTCTAACAAAAAAATTAAAAGGAAAAAATAAACTAAAAAT
The DNA here is from genome assembly GCF_000001405.40 of Homo sapiens. Taxonomy (NCBI): domain Eukaryota; kingdom Metazoa; phylum Chordata; class Mammalia; order Primates; family Hominidae; genus Homo; species Homo sapiens. The sequence goes on from NC_000005.10 coordinate 23,435,956, forward strand.
TTTTAAAAATAGAAAAATGCTTGTAGAATAAGGATATAAAGAAAATATTTTGTACAGCTATACAATGTGTTTATGTTTTAAGCTACATGTTACTAAAAAGAGTCAAAAAGTTAAAAACTTTAAAAGCTTATGATGTAAAAACATAGCAGTAAGATAATGTTAATTTATTATTGAAGAAATATTTCTTGATATACCCTGAGTGTACACTGTTAATGACATCTACCATAGAATTTCAGGCCTTCATATCTACCTGCCACTCTCTTATGCACTAAACTAGAGCAACTGGCAGTCCTGCAAGCTACATTCACAGTAAGTGCCCTGTACAGGTGTATGTTTTTCTATCTGTTATACTATGATTTTTACTGTACCTTTTCTATGTTGAGATACACAAATACTCACCACTGTGCTACAATTACCTACAGTCTTCAGTACAGTAACATACCATACAGGTTTGTAGCCTAGAAGCAATATGCTATACCGTATATGCCAGGTGTGTTGTAAGCTATATTGTCTAGGTTGTATAAGTACAATCTATTATGTTCACACAATGACAAAATTGCCTAACGATACATTTCTCAGGTTTCCCTATTGTTAAATATTGCTTGAGTGTACATCGCTGCTTTGCTTTGAGTAACCACTCCTGCTGACCAATATTACTTTTTACACTAACTCATAGGTGTTCAGAGCTTCCTTTTATTATTTTTGTTATGCAGTACATGTTTTAATAATTATTGAATAATATACTAGAGCATTTATCTGACCATCTCATGACACCTGCCAGAAAACAAGCTAAAAAGCAACACAGAAAAATTCCTTCGATGCAATTCCTTGTAATTCAGTTGTTTTAATTACCACAATCCTCATAAATAAAGCTTCTAACTCACTTTGTAAAAGATTGTATAATTTATGGTTTTATTTTTAAAATGCTTTGACATCAAACATCTCTAAATCATGCAGTCATTTAATGTAGTGGTAACCTATATCAAGTACTATGTCTCTAAAATTTAAGTTTGTATTTTTCTCAAAAGAATGGAGTCTCTAATGCAAGCTATTTGACAGAACCACCATCTGCCTGCCCTGAGCTTTAACATCTAGAGGAAGGTATCATCCACTGGGGAAATTTCCACATGCATTTCAGTTGAAAAGCTAAGACTTCCTCACCTTTTCTTGCCCTTTGTGCTTGGAGAAATGGAGTACCACTCAACACTGCTGGCCAAAGATACAGCTGGCCAGTTTTGACCTCCTGGATTCTGGCCAACAGCTGTTCAATCTGTGCTCTGCACTCAAGGGACTTGAAGTTGAAGCATCATCCCCTGTATTGCCAATTCCACCCTAATTATCTCAATGCTCCATAACCAAAGACTTCTTTTTTTTCCCCCACCAGAATAAATTGGTTAGCATTTTCTCTATCAAATCCATACTATTTATTAGTATAGCTACATGAATGACCTAGACTCTAATACTTACGAATTCAGTAAGTGTATTATCAGTAGGTTGTATTTTTTTGACTGAAGCACAACCTGAAAACTTTTTAGTAAATAAAAACAATAATAGTAAGTCATAGTTAGCAAATGATTTTTGAAACTTTAAAAAAATTGATTATTAAGTGGGATTAAAGGGACGAGATATCGACTTTCAATTTTATCGTTTACAATAATTTTTTATTTACAATTTTTATTAGAATAATCTCAAAAACTCTGGGAGAATTATTTTATATAAGAAAACTTGAGCTTTTTGGCAGGGAATGGACCACATAAAGGGATTAGTTAATTGGAGAATCCTAGTGCATTTACTCAGCTGTCCAGTTGCTATTTATGAGTTGAAGAAAGAAAAGTGTATTTGAAAACACCTTTGCAAAAATTATGACACTGAAAAAATCAAACATAGGAAAATTACGACAGTGAATGAAATCTGACCTAACTGACCCCATCTTGCTTTTAACCTACAAGCTGCTCTTGTTCATTCTTGGGTGTAGGTTGAGCTTACCATAGTAGGAATTTACCTTATAGTTTAACTTTGAAACTAAGATGATAGCCCCTTCCTGAAATGAACCCTCTCTTTGCTGGGGACCCGACCACCTTTGTAAGGCTAACAAGTTAGCCACAAGATTAAAAATGATGGATCAGGAGTCATGCAGCCAGAGGCCACAAGATTCCTAACCTCCTCAACTGCTCCTGTGGATACCATCACTATTGTAAAACCTAAGATTGTTGTTAGAGACATTCATCAGGCCCTGCATTCTGATGGACCAGCTGGCACCACCCAGATCGGTAAACTGGTTCAATTAGTTCTGTGATCCCACCCAGGAACCGAAAGCAGAAAGAAAAACCCACTTTGACCCCCAGTGAATGTATCCCCTACGCTAACAATTAACATTCCCCATTCCCTAGCCCTCTGCCCATCAAATTATCCTTGAAAAACCCTAACCTCTGAGCCTTTGAGGAGACTGATGTGAGTGATAGCTCTAGTTCTCCTGCATGGCTGTCCTTGCATCTATTAAATTCTTTATTTTCTGCAATACTACAGTCTCAGTCAATTGATTTTTGTGCAGTGTGCAGGAAGAACCCCTTGGGTGATTACATATTTGTACAATTATATTTTTAAATACATACAGCAACTCATATTTCCCACAGTGTTTCTGTTTCTTAAATTATTTTTACCATGTTTGCCCTTTAAATTTTCTCTCAAAAACGTATGTGTAACTTTTCCACGAGACATAAAACATTAATATATAACCTTTTTGATTACTTTCCAGTAGTGCCAATAAAAATGCACACGTCTTGCTTACTCTTGCCCACTGTCCCCATGTGATCAGCATTAGTGAGCCACATTATGAAGTAGGATAATGATTACAGAATCACAAGTGTATTGAACCTCTTATTTTGAATAAATAGACCCTATAATTTATCTAAAATTTAGACCTATAATGTCTAAATTTATAATATTTTAACCCGAATACACTATTGCCCTATCAGATATGCTAGCAGAGGAAATAGTCCATTGTTATTTTCTGTTTATTGATTAGAATAGAGTGATGATTTGGTTATGTGCTGTGTTCAGATATAGCAAAGTTTCTCAGTAAACAGATCTGGAGATGAAAATTTGCACATAATAATTTTATTAAGGAGAGTTCTCAGGATTAATACCTATTGAGAAATAAAAAAAATTAAGATTGAGAAAAAGAACTTGAACTGTGAAACAGTCTCAAGGAGGCCTTGGCCAATCTCTTGGGCAGCTCTGCTAAAATGGTTCTTTAGAATTCTGCTTTGATATAGGGGCACAAGCATTTATACTATCATATCAATAGCCATTTGATAAGGAGTGTCCTAGAGAAAGAAGGTTTCTTCTGGTAAGGCAGCTCCCTTTGCCCAAGGACAATTCATAAGTCTCAAGGCTCAGGAGAAAGACATCAGGCAGCAATACTCTCAGGGGGCGGACAAATGAAAGCCTCAGAACTGAAGGGTGTATCTTGGAGGCACAAAAGAGCATCCATTATAGTCCAACCTTTTGCTTTCTTCAGCTCCACATACTTTATGTAATACATTTTAGAAACTCTTCATTCAAGATTTGCACTGGTCATATTTCTTGGGGTAAATTGCAACAGGAAGTTTAGTGGAAAAAACTTCAACATCACCACTGTAGCTGGTCTTGAAGACATAATTTGCTTCTCTCTCTCTCTTTTTTTTTCTTTTTTAAAAACCAGTTCTAGATTCCCGTCAATTTTAACAAGGATCTTCACTGGCTTAGGGTCTTATTCGTAAGTTGACCAAGAAGTTATTCACTCCCAAGGGGGTTTGAACTCCAGGTCTTCATGCTTCCCTCAGTCTACTGTACATGAGCATTAAACAATAAAATTGGGTAAGAAAATGCCAAGAGATATCTCAGGGAGGACATGAGTATCAAGCATGTTGTTTTCTGACCTCACTGCATAACATTTCTATCTCTTTATGATGATCAAGATAATTACTACTACTAAGATTGTGACACCTTCTCTTGATTATTGGTATTTTGACAACAAGTCCTGAAGTATACCTACAACAGCCAAGGATTGAAGTTTAAAGGGACTCTTGCTGTGTACTCTGGTGAAAGTCTTCTTCCACAGGAACCCAGATCTCTGAGGAAAAAAAAAAAGAAATAAGTAAAAACCTCTTAAATGGGTAGCTGGAAATAAAAATAAGTTCAGTTACTTACTGAGAACCACTCTCAGCTATCAAATCCATATATCTCAACTTTTTTATCCTAGCACCATATGAGAGCTATTGATTTAGGGGATATATTGCGTTTTGAAATACAGTGTTCTACCTTACCAGAGTATTATCCTTAAACAGGCACATCAGTTGTGCTTTTCATGGACTGTTACATTTATATTTCTCTCTCTGATTAACAGCTTCTGGGTGGGGTGCATATGTGTGTATGTGTGTGTGCGTATGTGTGTATAACAGAAGTAGTTGATGCCACAGTAAACTACACTGATACACTGTTTTGCTCTAAAGTAGGTTCTGAGGCTGTGCTAGTCCTATATCAACTTGTAATTCCTTGAATGATAATGCTTATTGAGACCCTGAAGGCAGGAACTGAACCTGGGATAGGTTTTGATGTTTTCACCTCTGGTGTCAAAGGACTCCACTGTAATTAACTTGCTACTATAGAGTACATGTGGTCTCTTCATGTATGAGGGCATATCATGGGTTCTGAATTGGACTTTTATGTTTGAATATTGGACATTCTGAAGCCATAGTAGCTAGGTCAGCCTTAGTGAGTTGGAATCTATGTCACTAGGTTCATTCATGACCACCCTTGCCACTATAACAACCTTATTATTATGCACTTATCCTTTCAGGACTAAAGGGGCCATTGAGACTTTCTTACATCAAATGGCTGAGTCATTGTTTCTGTCTGGTTGTTTAGTGCATTGTCAATGGCACATGCCTCTTGTTGGGTATTATCATATACTACAAAGATCATATATCATGTCCACTCCTGTAGGTTAATTGACATGTGGTTCCCCAGACATTCTTGTTCTTAGTCTCATTTTTTTTTTGCAGACTTTCCAAAAACCTGCTAAGCTATTTGCCACACCCCATGATTCTGCATACATTCTGTCACTAGTCTGCTTCTCTTTCCATATAACGTGAATGACCAAAGATTTGCTCATTAGGAGAATTTCTCCTCTCCCAACTTTCAGGACAAACTATGAGTGGACCTCTGATGAAACTGCAGCAAGGTTTTATTAGGTTCTAACCAATATCGAGTCTAATCCACCCAAAGTCTGACAAAGTTAGAAGTTACCAAAACTAATTCAAGAAAAAATAGAAAACCTGAATAAAACTTACATCCGTAAAAAAGTTTGAAATTAAAAATCTTTCCCAAAGCATAATCAACCTCTCAAGAAAAGAACAACAGCAACAACAACAACAACAACAAAACATAAGGCCAGCCCAGATGGCTTCTCTGGTAAATTTCATCAAATATTTAAAGAAGAAAAAATACCATATCTACTCAAACGCTTCTAGAGAACAGAAGAGAAGGGGACAGTGTTAATCACATTTCCAAGAGGTTAGTGTATTCCAAAACCAAACAAAAAATCACAAGAAAAGTAATTCATAGTGCAATAACCTTATAAACATAAATGCGTAAAATCTTAAGATATTAGCCAATTATATTCAGCATAATATAAGAATGATATACTATACTGGCCGGGCGTGTAGCTCATGCCTGTAATCCCAGCACTTTCGGGGGCCGAGGTGGGCGGATCACCAGGTCAGGAGATTGAGACCATCCTAGCTAACATGGTGAAATCTCGTCTCTACTAAAAATACAAAAAAATTAGCTGGGCATGGTGGCATGTGCCTGTAGTCCCAGCTACTCAGGCGGCTGAGGCAGGAGAATCACTTGAACCCAGGAGGGGGAGGTTGCAGTGAGCTGAGATCGTGCCGCTGCACTCCAGCCTGGTGACAGAGCAAGACTCTGTCAAAAAAAAAAAAAAGAAAGAAACAAATAAAGAATTATATACTATACCAAATGGGGTTAATTCAAGAACTGAACAGGTAATTTAATGTCTATAAATTTATTAGTATGGTGTATTAAGAGAGTGAAGCACAAAAATACACATAATCATCTTAAAAGACACAAAAAAATGATAATTGAAGAAAATCTAACACTGCTTCATAGTAAAAACTCTCAAAGTTAAGAAATAGAAGTGAACTTTCTCAACTAGATAAAGGACACATACCACAAACAAACAAAAAAATGACAATTAATATCATGTTTAGTTGTGAAAGGCTGAAAACCCCTTTTCCTATTATAGAGAAAAAGTAAAAAATGTCTACTCCTACCATTCTATTAAATGTCATGCTAAGAGTCTAGCCAGTGTTATATGGCAAAAATAAAATGATAAAAATGAAATTAAATAACAAGCATGCATAGTAATAAGGAGAAGTAAGATAGTTATTTTTTGCAAATGACATAATCCTATAGATAGAAAATCCTAAGGAATACATACACTCAGAAAGAAAACAAAGAAATACAGTTTGCAAAAATCACAGGATACAAAATTAATGTACAATAATGCATTTTGGAATTCTAGCAATAAGAGACATAAAAATAAAATCTCAGAAAAAAGCTTTATTCACATTTACATTAGAAGCTACAATAAAAATATATTTAAAACAACAATTAAAAACTACAAAATATTGCTGAAAGTACAGAAGACCTAAGCAAATGATGAGGTATCTCATGTTCATGGAATGACTCAGAATTGTTAAGATGAGAACTCTTCTCAAATTGTTCTGTAGATTACATGAACTTCCTATCAAAATCTCAGCATGTTATTTTATAATAGAAAATGACAAGGTGATTTTAAAAATTATGTGGAAATGTAAAAGATTGAGCCTAGCCAAAACCACTTTGAAAAAAAAATTGGAGGACTTATACCACCTTAAGTCTGAATACACTGTACAATTTGAATAATAAAGGTAGCGTGTTATTACCAAAATTATAATCAAATAGGTCCATGAGTATAACTGAGAGTCCAGAAATAAAGGCTTACCTTTTCAGTCAATTGATTTTCTACGAAGATGCCAAGTTAATTTAAGGGCAAAAAAAAAAAAAAATAGACATTACAAAAAATTTGTGCTGGGAAAATTAGATGTCTATAAACAAATAAGCAAAAAATACAAACAATACAGAAACCAAAGCAAAACTTACATTAAAAAAAACTCAAAATTAATCATAGAGCTAGATGTCAATGATAAAACTATAAAAAATACATAAGAGAACATAGGTGAAAAAATCCTATGGCTTTTGGTTAAGTAGAATTTTCATATATGTCAACAAAAACAAGATCCATGAAAGGAAAATGTTGATAAATCATACACATGGATATGGTTTGGCTCTGTCGCCACTGAAATCTTATCTGGAATTGTAATCCCCAGGTGTTAAGGGAGGGACCTGGTGAGAGGTGACTGAATCATGGGGGAGGTTCACCCATGCTGTTCTCGTGATAGGGAGTTCTCGTGATAGGGAGTTCTCAGGAGATCTGATGGTTTAAAAGTGGCAGTTTTTCCTGCTCTCTCTCTTTCTCCTGCTGCCTTGTGAAGACAGTAGTTGCTTCCCCTTTGCCTTCCGCCATGACTGGAAGTTTCCTGAGGTCTCCCAGCCATGCAGAACTGTGAGTTCATTTAATCTCTTTCCTTTATAAATTACCCTGTCTCAGTAGCATCTTTTTCTTTTTTCTTTTCTTTTTTCTTTTTTTTTTTTTGAAACCGAGTCTTGCCTTGTCGCCCAGGCTAGAGTGCAGTGGCGCGATCTTGGCTCACTGAAACTTCCTCCTCCCAGGTTCAAACGATTCTCCTGCCTCAGCCTCGTGAGTAACTGGGACTACAGGCGCCCGCCACCACGCCCAGATGTTTTTGTATTTTTAGTAGAGAGGGGGTTTCACAATGTTGGTCAGGCTGGTCTTCAACCCCTGACCTCAAGCAATCCACTCCCCTCGGCCTCCCAAAGTGCTGGGATAACAGGCATGAGCCACTGCGCTCAGCCTCAGTAGTATCTTTATAGCAGTGTGAAAATGGACTAAAACACATATCAAAAGTAAAAATTTAAGATAATAAAAATGCAAGCCATGTCCTGGGAAATTATCTTTACAAAGTATATATCTGACAAAAGATTTGTATCCAGAATACATAAAAGACTCAAAGATCAACAATAAGAAAATCAACAACCAAATGAAAAACTGGCCAAAGATTTCAACAAGCACTTCACCAGAGTAGATCTACGGATGACTATTAAATATGCATGTGCAAAGTTCCTCAACGTCATTAGTCATTTGAAAAATGTAGACCCAGAGTTCGATACCAGCATTTATACATATACACACACGCACTAAGATAGCTACAAGTTTTTAAAAAGACAAATATGTGAAGAAAGCGTATCCTGTACAATTCGATTCTTATAAACTATACTTAGGCCAGGCGTGGTGGCTCAGGCCTGTAACCCCAGGACTTTGGGAGGCCGAGGTGGGCGGATCACGGTGTCAGTTCAAGACTAGCCTGGCCAACATAGTGAAACCCCTTCTCTATTAAAAATACAAAAAATTAGCTGGGTGTGGTGGCATGGGTTTGTAATCCCAGCTACTCGGGAGGCTGAGGCAGGAGAATCACTTGAACCTAGGAGGCGGAGGTTGCAGTGAGCCGAGATTGTGCCACTGCACTCCAGCCTGGGCGACAGTGCAAGACTCCGTCACAAAAATAAATAAATAAAATAAACTATGTGTTTTAGACAATGAAACATAGTTATAGTGGTTGAAAGCAGATCATTAGTTTTCTGGAGGAATCTGGAACGGAGTAAGAAGGAAGTAATAAAAGGGTAGGAGGAAAAGTTTGTAGGTGGTTGCTATGTTTATTATTTTGATGGGAATAATTGTTTCACCTGTATATACATGTGTAAAAAAATGTCAAGTTGTGGCCAGGCGGGTGGCTCACGCCTGTAATTCCAGCTACTCAGGAGGCTGAGGCAGGAGAATCGCTTGAACTCAGGAGGCGGAGGTTGCAGTGAACTGAGATGGCGTCACTACACTCCAGCCTGGGCAACAGAGTGAGACTCCTTCTCAAAAAAAAAAAAAAAATCAAGCTGTAATTTTAAATATATGTGTTACATTGTATGTCAAATATAACTACTACAGCTTTCAATAAAAATAAGATATTTTATATATTGCATTTTCATTTCACTGAATCAATGTTGCTATTTATTGCAGCATGTACAATAATTTTTTAATAAAAAAGGAAAATATATGCTATTAAATTTGTCATCTATCTTCACTGAAGAATTAGAAGAATGTTTAAACTGTGAAATCTATGGAAGAGCACATGAAATTTAAAATCTGATCAATAAGTTTGTTCAAATGATTGTTTCATTGTCACTATTGAAAATTAAAAAATTGCTTTCATTTTCCTCAAGCTCTTGGGACTAGATATAGAATTACTTCTAGAATATATATTAGTGAGCAATTTCTTCTGATTTTTATTCTTTTAGGCAAAAATATGTTCACTGATATTAAATTTATTATTCTGTATCATGAATATCAGATGAAGCATGAAAATGAACATGAATAGACAAGCCAAGTTTCTTTTGAATGTTGAATAAGAGTGTGTTAATAATAATGTAACTACCTTTCCACTTGCATTATTTGCTGATACATATATCAGGTTGCAAATGGTTATAAACAGAGAATTTGGTAGGAAAGGCATTTAAAGAATTGGTACAGAAATGTGTCATGTGATTTTCATTGAAAATAGAACAAATATGATGCAATCTAGGGGTGATTAGTTGTTCTTACATTCCAATTGTGTGCTTCAAAAGTAATTGTAGCACAGAGCAGTGTGTTACAAATACTGGCTATGAAAAGGAAATTATTAGCTACATTTATTATTACTCTCCAGCCAAATAAAAACAAGATGTCACACAAGAGATCTGAGAATCCTGCTGTCACTGAAGACGTTCAAATGGAACAACAAAATACAACTATTACATGCTTGCAGATAATTCTCAACCAAACTTAAAGACAACCAATGTTAACTTGCAAGGAAAGTAGATTTGTTTTTAACTTGAAAAACCATCTCAATAATATACCAAATAAACATTCTTTGAGTGTACAAGGGTTTTCTACATGATACTTGATATAAAGGTCTTTCTTATGCAGATAATATGTTGAAATTAATGTTTTTTGTACATTAATTTCAATGGAAAATAATATTCAGTTAGAAATTTAGTAGAATTTTGTGATTTATCTTGCAAGTTTAGTGCATTTCTTTATGGTGACATTTTCAGATTCAAGATTATAAGAACATATTTTTTTCTCAAGTAAATTTGCTTAGCAACATATGTTTGAGACATAATAAGAAATTTATGTGTGTGCGTATGTGTAGGTGTGCTCTTGTTATCTATTGCTCCGTAACAAACAATCTATATCTTGTATCTTAAAACAATAACTGTTTATTTTGCTTAGCAATCTGTCATCTGTGCAAGGCTTAATGGGGATAGCTCATCTCTCCTCCACATGTTGTGACCATAGCCGGCAAGTTTGTGATAGCTTTTGGTTTCTCTCCATGTGGACTTCTCATGGGAAGCTTGGCCTTCTTACAGCATCATGGCTGGATTCCAAGAACGAATTCCTTAGACTTAGAAAGTTGAAACTGCTGGGTTGTTTGTTTGTTTTGCTTTTTTAATGTCTGGACAGGAAATTGGCACAGCACAGTGTCGCTTCTCCCGTATTCTATTGGCCAAGCGGCCATAGAGGCCTAGACTGACGGGGAAGATATAAACCCCTCTCTCAATGTGAAGAGTGGAGAAGAACCTTAGGGCCATATTTAGAAACTTCTGCAATGTGATTGTAACCATCTCAAGCCTGTTTCTGATAATATCGTAAAAGCACCTTCATCAAGTATTGTACACTGCTTTTGATTGCTTCAAGGGTAGAACCCTAACACCTTACCCACTACAAGTCCTGAAGCTGAGGGTGTAAGGATTTAATTTGATTATGTTGGGGCACAGAAAATGATACCTCAAAATACAATGCTTTGGCATTTTGAGTGTTAGAATTAAAGAAAATTAAAAGGTCTCAGAAATATGCCTCAGAACCAAAGTCTCTCTAAGACCTTCCCCTTCCCATCTCTGATCCTTTCTTTCCTGAAGCACATGGAGGAATTCTTTCTGAAAAAATAAATTTCTTATCTGACTAAAAAAAGCCTGTCTCTAAAAGAAATGCAATTGTCTTAAGACCCTTTTCCTAGTAATCTCATCAAATAATCAGGAAAGAATTACCACAGCGAAGAGAAGAAGCTAGGAGTCCTCACCATGACCAGACAGACTTTTCATCTCTTCCTCGAAGGGCTGCTCCAAGGGTTTACTTGAGGGCCTTTATTTTCACAATAAGATGACCTTTGTTCAAAGCAAAGTTCTGCCACTCACCTTCCTGCCACCTCCCCCAGACCTCAGGGAAATTTTGTGCCAGGTCATTATTCTTTGAGCTCATTCTTTTTTCCCTAAAATACATTTACTTCTATACCTCTCCTGTTCCCTTGTCCTAAGAAGAAGAACCGATAAACATCTGGACCTCATTGGGTTATTGGGTAATTATACTCATGTAATTCCTCCATGTTATGTTTGGTAAATATATTTTGCATATTTTTTCTCCTATTAATCTGCCTATTGCCACTTCATTTTTGGTGAGTCTTCATAGAACAAAGGGGAAGCTGTCTGTCTTTGACCCTACTGTTATCAGAAATAAATGTAATCTTATAAGTTGATGCCTCTGTATGGGCAAAGCTAGCCAAATTTTGTTTTTTCCTCCATCATACTCAGATGAATGTGAATTTCTATTTATTATTATGTATTTTCAATATAATGGATCAGAAGAACAATCTAGAAGTTGATAGACTTAAGGATATTAACTTTGCCCCATTTAATATTAAGCTATAAAAAGTGTTAAATTGAATTTAGCCTAAAGTTGCTTCCTTATATATTTTAAGATTGACATAAAGATTTCTTTGTAAAAGCAAACTATAGCCAATCTGAATGTACAAACAACCTGTACCCTACTCTTGTAGCAATTACCAAGTTTCAGGCAATTAAAGGAAGCCAACTGTTTAAACCAAGTTCAAATAAGGCAAACGCCAAGTTGTAACCAATCGAGCTGTTTCTGTATCTCATTTCCATTTATTTACATCATTTTTCTTTTTTTATCCATAAATCCTCTTTGACTCAGCATCAGTGGTACTGGAAAGGGGTCCTGATCCAGACCCCAAAAGAGGGTTATTGGATCTCATGCAAGAAAAAATTTGGAGGAGAATCCATAAAGTGAAAGCAAGTTTATTAAGAAATTAAAGGAATAAAAGATTGGCTGCTCCATAGGCAGAGCAGTAGCTTGGGCTGCTGGACTAAGGATATTTATACTTAGTTCTTGATTATATGTTAAACAAGGGGTAAATTACTCATGAGTTTTCTGGGAAAGGGGTAGGCAATTCCTGGAACTGTGGGTTCCTCCCCTTTTTAAACCATACTGTGTAGCTTCCTGACCTTGTCATGGCGTTTGTAAACTGTCATGGTGCTGGTGGGAGTGTCTTTTCGCATGCTGATGCATTATAATTAGCATATAATGGGCAGTAAGGATGACCAGAAGTGACTTTCCTTGCCATCATGGTTTTGGTGGGATTTACCTGGCTTCTTTAGTGCAATCTGTCTTATCAGCAAGGTCTTTATGATGTGTATTTTGTGCTGACCTCCTATCTCATCCTGTAACTTAGAATGCCTATCCTCCTGGAAGTGCAGCCCAGTAGGTCTCAGCCTTATTTCACCCAGGCCTTATTCAAGATGGTGTCATTCTGGTTCAAATGCTTATGACACCAGTGCCAGAGTAGCTTTGACTCTCTTCTGGTTGAAGGGCTACCCAATTTGCAAATCATTCTTTATGCAATTAAATTGTTAAATTAAATTTGTCTAAAGTGTTTCTTCTAACAAAAGTAACAGCTAGCTTTTTGATACTAAACTTGTAATGATAATTCATTGTTTTTGCTAAAATTTTAGGTTTGCATTTACATTCTATGCAAAGAAGCTGCTAATTTTAGACATCTTTGCTTTATCTTTTTCCAAAAAGTTTGTTAAACATTATTGTGCAGATGTCACTATATTAGAAATGTACACAACTATTTGGTGCCTTATTGATACCATGAGAGCCTTCTTTTGTTTATTTACTTACACTGAACAACCTAACCACTCATATAGAGACTAATATGAAGGAAGAAGTCATATATAGATTCCTTCATGATAGCAAAGCCCAGACAGTAAATTGAGCTCTACCCCAGATTAAATATAAATTTCTTCCCTTCATTAAAGTTCTCATAGAGATATCTTAATCAAAGTAAAATTTTTCTCCATTTTTGGAATGTCCTAAATAAAAATAATGCAAAGTACAGCATCTTTATTCTTTTTATTAAACCTTCTTAATCTCTACAGATTGAACTCAGCCATTACTCTACGAGGAAGAGAAAGAGTGACTCAAGTTTCCTTCTTAAACTACTACAGATTTGACAGTCAAATCTCCTTCAGGGATTCAGAAACTGAATAAAGTTAGTTGGAATTGCTGCATATGTTGCCAATTAAACCTTTTCATGTCCCAGTCCTCTAAAGTTACAAAGAATAAATAGGACAGCTAAGAGTATCATCTTATTTGAGACAATTTTTTAAAATATTTAGTAATATAGCATGTACCAACTCTCCTTGCTGCCAGTCATATATATTTTCCATGTATGTATGCCAGTCATAATTAATGTCCAAGTATGTGTGTACTGTGTGTGTGAGAGTGTATATGTCCGTGTGTATACATAATTTCCATATGGATATATAGATATATAGGTTTCCATATCATTTCCAAGTCGTAAGACTATGTCATTCGGTTTGGTGTGTACCAGTTGTGCACTCAAAAATGGTTGGGAGGAGATGCAACTAACCACTTTAAATTTGTTAGAGAATTCTGAAAGGATCAGGAGAGAGCTAGGAGACAGTAACCTTGGTACTGCATGTCAGTAATGGGCAGTGATTCATAAGAAGTTAATAGTAGCTCTCTAGGGCAAAGACTTTGAAGTTGGGTGAAACAAAAATAGGAAGTGCAGTCACTGAAAATGGCAGAGCAGGTAGTTCCAAGAACTTGTCCCATCGCAGAAACAACATGCACACACACACAAAAAGCAAAAATCAAAAACTGTCAATCAACTTTGTTGAAACTGAAAAATAGTCAAAGGTTCAAAGGTTTAGAGCAAGCAAGTGCTGAATCAAGAATCAGTGGATTTAGAAAATAAGTTTTGCAGCAGTTTAGCTTTCCTTTGTCCCTGCCCCCAACCCCAGCTTGGCAGTAGCCTTAAATACAGCGATCTGTGTTTCCAGTCCGTGGTTCCAGAGGGAGCAGAGCAGACCTTGTTCTCAAAGAATTGCATATTTGTTTTGACCAGTTTTGGGGCTACCGGAAAGACAGAAGCAAGAAGCTCGTCTTTGTTTCACCTAATTTGGAAGTCTCTCAGAGCAGAAAACTAGCTACTAGGCAGAGGGCATCACTCAAAAATAGTGAAAGGGAAATGAACAATTTGCTGCTGCCTGGGGCAAATGGTTACTACGGAGCCAAATGAGATATGCTGAAAACGTGGGATGAGGATGAGAGACTCTTAGAATTAGGGAGTTATAAAGCACTCTTCTGTACTAAAAATTTAGTAAACCACAGAAAGCCTAGGAAAGCATACATGCTTAGAAAAGACCTAGGCTTTCATTTGTGGCAGATCTTTAGGCTCAATGCAAGCAGGAAGCAAAGGCTAAGACAGATATGTAGAGGCCCTGGCTGAAAGCTGAAAACGTATCCCAACACTGTTTTTTAAATCATCATTATTATTATTGTCTCCGATGTTCAAAGAAATCTCTGAGCAAACACTATTTGTCCACAAGCTAAAGAAACAGATTTTAGAGACCGTATGTGAGGAATACGGTCATTTTAACAGTTATAAAAATAACTAAACAAGCAAACAACTACATCCCAGGCCAAGGGTAAAAACAACAACAAAACACTGAACAAGGGGATCATTTTGATTTCCAGAGTTAGCACATTACACTGTTTAGAAAGTCCTCTTTCTTAACAAGAACAACAAAATGCAAAGTGTTTGAAGAAACAAGATAAAATGATCCTTTCACAGGATAAATTAATAGAAAACGTCCCTGCAGAAGCAGACTTTGGGCTTACTAGATAAAGACTTCAAATCAACTGTTTCCTTAAAAAAGTTAAACAAAAAAAATGCCTGCTCTTCAAAAGTTACACATAGACTTACCACATGACCCATCACTTCTATGTATCACTCCTATGAATCACTCCTATGTATCAACCCAAAAGAATCAAAAACAGGTATTCAAAGAAGTACTTGTACAAAGATATTTATGGCAGCATTATTTACAATAGCAAAATAGTGGAAGTAACTCATGTCCATCATTAGAAGAATAATAATTTGGCATATACATACAATGAAATTCAACTACAAAAAGGAATGAAGTTCTGATACTTGATACAGCATGGGTGAACAATGAAAATATGCTAACAAAATAAGTAAAAAAGGTCACTTGTATGTGAACCCCCAAAATTTAAGACAGGTCTCAGTTAATTTACACACTTTATTTTGCCAAGGCTGAAGACGTGCGCCCATGACATAGCCTCAGGAGGTCCTGATGACATGTGCCCAAGGTGGTCAGAACACAGTTTGATTTTATACATTTTAGGGAGACATGAGACATCAATTAAGATGGGACAACTTGAAGCAAAGGCTGGAAGACTTGAAGTAGGGAGGAGGCTTCCAGGTGTAGATAAGAGAAAAATGGTTGCCTTCTTTTGAGTTTCTGATTATCCACTGCAAAGGAGGCAATCAGATATGCATTGATCTCAGTGAGCAGAGGGGTGACTTTGAATAGAACGGGAGGCAGGTTTGCCCTAAGCAGTTCCCAGCTTTACTTTTCCTTTTAACTTAGTGATTTTGGGGCCCCAAGATTTATTTTCCTTTCACAATTCCTTTGACATGAGGTATCCAGAGTAATTAATCTTTAGACAGATTGGTAGTCCTCAGAGCTTGAGTGAAGAGGAAGAAAGTGGGAATGAGTGCTTAATAAGTAGATTTTCTTTTTAGGTGATAAAAACGTTTTTGGAGTATTAAAAGTGCTAGTTGCACACCATTCTGAAAATAATAAGTGCCACTAAATTGTGTTCTTTCATAGGTTTTGTTATATTAATTTCACTTTAGTGACAGAAATATTTAAGAAAAAAGTGATTGGGAGATTTCTGCTACCAAAGAAGAGTACTGTAGGAAGATGAAGGCCAATATTTGTTTCAAGAACCAGAAAACTATTTCACATAAATGACAAGAATTGTGGGTTTTTTTGTGGTATCCAAGATCTGTAGAAATGATCATGACTTGTTGAACTAAAATTAAAAAGAAAAAGAAACTTTCTGGATTGAGCTAATTGTTATTGGCTAGTTTTTCCAACCTGGGGACGCTGGTCACACCTGGGCAGGAGCTAAAGGTCTAGCTTAGTTGAGGCAGAGGTCCGTTGCCAGGGGACAGATGCCAGCAAAGCTCTAAGTGTTAGAGGAGGGCTGGAGAAAAAAACTAAAATCTCAAGGGCTTTCAAGCATACTACCAAGATTATCAGTGGTAGTTTCCTGAGTTCTGGAGCACAGAGAAGACTTAAGAGTGGCCAATCTTTCAAACTGGCAGAATAAAATCTCCAGTAGTCATTAGATGCCCAGAAAACAAAGACATGCTAAGAGTGGTGCTTCCAACGTATTCACTGTTGTATCCCTTGTAAAATATTTGCTGGAATTTGCAGCAGTGTGTGGTGACAAGTGGAGAAATGGCCTGGGAATATCACAGGGTATCACTGAATCTTCCTTCATGGCTGAGGTGAGGGTGCCTTCATACTCACAGTCAAAAGTCTAGGTGGGTACCACTCTAGAAAGAACAGCAAACCAGAAAATTCTTACTAAGCCTGCAATCCATTCCAATCCAGCTCCATATTTGATGGGATTGGAATGATAACTAGATTGTATTGCCTAACAGTTAAGGTCCTAGACATTGTAGTGTGAACAATAGGGGGAGAAAAACATAAGAATTGGAAAAGAAGGGTAAAAACTGTTATTAATCACAGAGTATGTGATGGTACACTATGTAAAATTCAAAATAATTTAAAGACAAATGTTAGAATCCGAAAGTGAATTTTCTAGGGTTGCTGGCGTAATGACCATATGACAAAATGCACATTTCTAAGTAAAGAATGGCTGAAATATTAAAACAAAAATTAGAAAATATTCTTAAGTGGATTATAGTGAAAATAATGTACTGAAATAAATGGCATAAAGCTAAAGAAGTGCTTATGGAAAAATTCATGGCCATAAAAGCTATATATTTTCAAAAAACATAGGCTAAAATTAAATTACTTAAGATTTCACCATAAGAAACTAAGCAAAAAACAGCAAAACATGTTTATAGAAAGTAGAAGAAAATAAATAATAAAGATAAGAACAGACCAATTAAATTGAATACAAATTGAAAAGATATATTTATAGCAGCATCAAAAATATAACATGCTGAGAAATAAATCCAAGAAAACATATTTAGGGCTCTATCTTGAGAACTATAAAACTCAACAAATATAAGAATACTTAAAGAAATTGAGTATATATCACACAAATAGATGGAAAGACTTGATATTTTAAAGATGGAAATGATCTATAAATTAGAGTACAGTATATGCAATCATTATCAAAATGCCAGAAATATACAGTTTGTATGTCTGTGTGTAAATTGATGAGCTGATTCCTAAATTTGTATGGTGTTTTAGAAGGCAAACATTTTCATGGCAGCCTCAAAGTAGAACAAAGCAGAAAGACTCACAATAACAAATATCAAACTGAGTAATGGAAAAGAATTGAAAGTCTATAAATAGATCAATATACATGTGTTTACCTGATTTATCAAAAAGACAACACTCTGTTACAGTGGGGAAAAGCCAATCTTTTTGGTACATTGTGTTAGGTATATTGGCTATGAATGTGGACAAACACATTTCTGATTGTCTAGCAGTTCTACTCCTGAGTGAATGCTGAATAGAAATGGAAGCATATTTATACATACACACAGCACATGCACACCCACACATACACACAACATTGTCTAAATGTATTTATCGCAGCTTCATTCATGATAAACAAAGAAAAGAAAGCTACTCAAATGCTTATTTATAGCATGTAGATAGAGCTACATTTATAGAATCTGACACTAAGCATTAATGAAAATAATGTAAAACCACATGGAGAATGAATCTTATAAAAACAATATTGAGAGGAAAAACACCCAGACAGAAGACTACTGACCCTCTGATTTCATTCACAGAAAGGACAAAGGCAGGCAAAATCAATCTGGGCTGTTAGAGGTCAGGAAAATCGTTACCCCTGGAAGGTAGAATGTGGGAAAGGGCACAAGGTGAACCAACTGTTGTGGGTTATGTTCTATTTCTTGATCTCAATGCTAGTTTCCCAGGTGTGCTCAGTGTGTTAAAATTCACTGGTCTGTTCATTGAGGATATATGCACTTTTTTGTATGTATATTATACTTCCGTAAAAGGTTATACAAATAAAAATGATTGGTCAATTTTCCTGCAAGTAGATTTCTCGATACTTTCAAATTTTCCTTCTGTATGTGCAGAAACCCAATTGGAGAAAAACACATATTATTTTTTTACTAAAAGTTCTCAAATGGAGTGATTTTGTACCAAAGGGAACATATGGTCATGTTTAAGTCAGTTTTTGATTGTCTCTACTAGAGGGGTATGAGGGAGGGAAATATTGGTAACTCTTGAGTAGAGGCCAGGAATGTGGTTCAGCATCCTGAAATGCACAGAACAACCCCCACAAAAAAAGAATTATTTGACCCAGAATGTCAATACACAAAGGTTGAGTAACCTTGACTTAAATGAGATGGACTTTACTAAATGCATGTTAAGTAAAGCAATGAAGTTTTCTTTAACTCTATTCTATTGCTGATGGTAATTCCCAGGATGCTATCTTTTAAGACACCCTGTATGTCACATGCTTTTTGCCATATGCTTCTTGACAAAATCTTGCTTCTCCTCAGCTTTTAATTCCCTGATTATTAATTAACCTTCACGACAGCAAGTTAATTGCAAATATGCACTAATACTATATTTTTTCCTTCTTCTTCTTACCCAACTTTATCTGCAGAAGATATTCTTTCCTTAGGCTGAAAAGAAAGCCAAATTAAGAAGGAAAACAAGTAAAATTTTGGTTAAGATAAGATAAATAGACATGTAGGCTATTTTTAGCTTCCAACCACCTGGATGACCAAAATCTCTTAAAACTCTTCTCAGTTCTACTCTCCTAGTTCCATCTCCATGAGAGAAAAAACAAAAACAAACAAACAAAAAACTTAAAAGTTTCAGGCAAGATTTTCCTGAATCTAGCAAAATTTTTTCTTTTTGAAGTTTGTGAGAAGTATTTTTGTATTAAAAATTTAAATTATTTGAGGACATTTCCAGGAAAAATGTCTAAATATCAGTCAAAACTAGGCACTTCCCCGCTCAGTTTTAAGTATTAAGAAAGCTCTTCTAGTCACAAAACTATCTATCTTTTTAATTTCACCTATCACAGTCTCGGATTCTCCTCACTCAGCCTACTAAGGCTATGCAGTAGATTACAATAGATTACAAGTTGTGGTGATTTTTAGTGCTATTTGATGTCAATTAACTTAAAAGACCAGAGATTCTTACAAATCACTTTCCTTTTTACCACGTCATAAATTCCTGGAGATGATTTTATGAAAGAAAGTATAATCCAGTATGAATAAAAGTACACATTTATTACTTGTTATGAAAATATTCTAAACTACAATTATAAACTCACTTGTATGCTGTTTGGTTTGGAGAATAAGCAGAAGATTTATGAGACACACAACATCAGCAAAGGGATTATGGAGAGAGGAAGAGCAAATGTTCATTCCCCCCTTAGGTTGTCCACCAAACTACCTGGAACCAGGAATGCAGTGACATGAGTGACATATATATGAGAAGTGATTTCAATCACTTCTCAAGCTGGCACAGGCCATTGTTCTACATAGTAACCATTTTCTATAATTTTTCTGATGCAGTTAATTTTTGATGTTTTTCTAATAGGATTGTGGTAAATAGTTTGCAAAACCACTTGCAATTGGTAATTTCCAGGCTGTGGGGAGAGATGTGGTACTTACACCTATGAGGCATAGCTTAGATAGAGAAGGGCCTCCGAAATCAGTTCTCACTGGACATGGAAGAGCCTGTTGGGAAACATGGGGCAGCCACTGGGGCTGACTAAAGTACTGGGAGCCTGCTTCCCTGGAAGATGCAACTGACATGGTGATGGACCTGGCAGGTGGGGAAGGCACTTGAGATAAAGGAAAAGCACTGGTGTGACCACCAGATCTCCCAGCACAACCTCCAACAAAATTTGCAGCTTGACAGTCTGTGGAAACATCTTACTGAATTAGATCTTGAGTTGTAGGATTCTTTTCAGAGGTTCACAACCAATTTCGAGCACTTCCAGGACACTGAGTAATTGATTTAAAAAGCTGAGGTTCTGTGGCATATAAGTGGACCACTCACAAAGTTATACCTACAATTAGATGTCCTAGCAAGGTAGCTGGAAGAAAGATAAGCAAACCTTGTTGACTGGCAACAATACTTCACAGCGAAATGTTCTTAGTCTTTCTCAAACCATTCAATTCCTCCAAGGGAGCACTAATCATCTGCAGAGCCAGCTGGAGGAATTGAAGGCATTTGACATTACCACAAGAAACCAGAAGAAACATTGCTAGTAGAAACTGGTGCACAACTACTCAGATCTATGCCACGTATCTGCCTATTCATATTTCTGCCCTATTCATATTTCTCTTTATAAATAATGAGAAAACATCTCTGTAAATAAGATTAGTTGCAGAGGTCACTGGGAATTGTTGAGAAGTTTCAGTGAAAAACTTGGAAGAAAATTACAGCCAGAAAAAGTCAAAAGGTTTTTTTGGTGTCAAGACTTGTTTAGTCTACTGGTATGACATGACCAAAGTCAGGAAGATTGCTGATTTTGCTCTCTGAGAGAAGAATTACCTCTGGGTTTATTTTCTGTTCATGGTGCCTCACAAGGAACAACTCTGTGTCACAAAAGTAGGCAGTGGCGTGAATGGTAATGACAATTGGACAGGTGATGTCCTGGACTTTGGGTAATATTCTCTTCTTATTGTATGAGGTCACAGAGAAGAATACTGCTATGCTCACAAAGTGATACTGAATTCCCTTATCTTTGTAAGCAGGCAAGCTGTTTGGGAATTTTTCTTCATTTCGCTATTAATTGCCTTTTGCTCTGAGAAGAAGCCATTAGATAGGATATTTTTACTCCTTATTCTTTTAGTATTTATGAAAGGCAGAGACAACATTTTTCCATTCTCACCATTAACAGGCTGATTTTCTGGTCCCAGGTGATAACAAACACCTGATTAATTACCACCTTCATCAGTATAAACTGCATTTGCCATGTAAGAATGAAGATTTATTCATTGAGTCATGCCCTGCCTTGAAACCACAGCTAGTGCCATATTTATTTACAATAATCACTCTACTCAGTCCCCTGTGTGACTTTCCTTTAGTTATAAGAAAAAGTAAATATTTATTAAAAAATATGTAAAAATATATCACTTATTCTGAGAATGAAAAGTCATTCAGGACCTATTTTGTTAGTAGAAAAGTAATTACGTGTTTTGCCATTAAGAGTAATGACAAACCCACAATAACTTTTGCATCAACCTAATAAACCAACTTGAGGACCTACCTGATTCTTCCTTCTCTCTCTTTCACTAAGCAGTTCTGTTTCTCTAGATGACTTTACTATCGTATTCACTCATTTAGAACAAGCAATTCGTCTTACTTTCTAGTTAAAGAAAAAGTTTATCTCATCAGCTGAGCTAATTACCATGATCCTTCCCAAACAGACCAATTATTCCAGACCTTGTGGTTTTCTAGGCCCCATTGTTTATCTTGGTCTAGTCAGTAACCAAGCCTGATCTGCTTCTTGAGACCTTGGCATTTGGGGAAAGAACCTTTTCTCAGAAAACTTTAGATATGGTAAACTCCACCTGTGATATGTTCAGTCAGCTAGGACACAAAGAAGCATCCTGTGTCCAAATGTAGCTGAAGATCTGTGTGTGTGTGACACAAATATCCACAGCTGAATGAATTTTTTAAAGTGCAATTCACCAACCAAGGTCTAAGTGTGAAATTAGCATACATTTATATCAATGAATTTTAATAAAAGTGCTTGTATACAAGAGATGTAAGCTGGTAACTTCCTTCATAAGCTTAATTATTCTATAATTACTTTGGTGGGAAAGTAAAGTATTTTCTCTGTGTTGTAAAAGAGGATTCTCACTTCCTCAGGTTTCAGCTTTTTCTAGGGAGCCTTTATTATATAATTTGAGATCGGGCTATAGCTATGACATACTCATTCTAAGTATTGGCATCCAAAAAGGAAGAGAAAGGCAAATATTAGTTATTTCTTAAGAAAGATTCCTGGAAGCTGCCATAGGACACCTATATTATATCCTACTGAGTGAAACTGGGACATTTGGGGACACTTAGCTTCAAGAAAGGCTGGGAAATGTAATATTTATTCTGAGTGATCTGATGACAACCTGAAACTCTAGATTTTTGTAAAGTTAGGAAAAGGCTATAAAGAATATTGAGGGATAATGATCACTCCATCACAAGAGTCAATGTTACATGAATAGTTACCATTAATAATATCTGTAGTAGTAAAAGTATAAATAACAGTGACATTAATTTTATAATTTTCCTCAAAAATATAGGTGAATGAAAGTATATTTTAGAAACTGAAAGTTGATGAAATTGTGAGAGGCTTACCAGGCTTGTGGCTTTTGCACTTGGAAATTCCTTTTTTTTTTTTTCTTTTGGCAACTCTACAGGATGGACCCCATTAAAGAAAATTTCTCTGTGTTTACACAAAAATTCTACAAAAATGATGGTCTTTTATGTCGGTCCTTGTACATTGATATTGCTTTTATTAGTCTGTTCTGCTAAAAAAGAACTACCTGAGACTGCTTAATTTATAAAGAAAAGAGGTTTCATTGACTTACTGTTCTGTAAGGATCTGCTTTTGGGGATCTCTCAGGAAACTTACAATCATGGCGGATGGTGAAGGGGAAGCAAGCACATACCCACATAGCTGTCAGTTGAGAGAGAGAGAGAGTGAAAAGGGAGATGCTAAACATTTTCAAACAACCAGATCTCCTGAGACCTCTATCACGAGATCGCTGGAGAGGTATGGTGTTAAACCATTAGAAACCACCCCTATGATTCAATCACCTCCTCCCAGGCCCCACCTCCAACAATGGGGATTTCAATTCAACATGAAACTTAGGTGGGGACACAGAGCCAAACCATATCACTGCTGAACACAAATTAATGACCATACCCAACCTCCCAGTAGCTGTGCTGAAGTTCAAGGAACAAGTAAAATTTGAAAATGGTATTCTACTGGTATGACTTTACTCCTCATAGCAACATCTTCTACAGATTATTCTGATTTCAGTAATTTATAAGGTATTTCAATACTGTTAATCACGCTTAAAAAATAGATTTCTCCAAAAAGAACACATTCTTTAGAGCAGTGCATTTTTTGAGACTACTGGAAAAGGTTGTGTTTATGTACTCGCATCAGGGTACAAAAATGTAACAAATCCTATAGAATAAAATAATCATCTACACCTATTATTTGTTATATTTCTTAGCTTAATTAAAAAATGAGTACTAGTCAGAAGTAGCCTGTATTTATTCAGTGATTTATCTAAAATTAAGTTTATTGTCATTATAGTTACAGTTTCATTAACAGGAAGAAAAATCTTATCCTCTGTTCTTTGTGTGAGGAAAGAATACGTTTAACGTAATTGTCTTGGGTAGAGGAGGCAGTCAGTTGGGAGTGTTTAGCCGCATTATACATGATGCCTCTATGAATTATTTTAAGGATGAATTAGAACACTGGCATGGAAAATATAGTCATCAATAAAAGTTTTCAAAGCTCATGATTGATTTTCTCTCTTTTTGTGTATATGTTTATTGTGTGAAAATAATAGCCTATAACAATTTTAATATTTTTTCTGGCCAAATTATAGACATGGAGTGGTTTTGATTGGTGTAGGGTGTCAGGAACAATTTTGGAGAAATTTGAGCTAAAATACTGAAATAGTGGAAATATAAATTAAATAATGGCCAAGGAGACTATTCAAGAAAAACATGTATAGAGATTGCTTTTCTCATTTGCCTTTGGTTTATTGGTTTGTGTCTTAGTTTATGAAGTGGTGTTATTTGTATAGGTGTTTTTCTGCATGCATGCATGCATGCATGCTTGGTGGGAGTTTGTGTTTAAATAGAAAAATATATCTGCAGATTTTGAACTGAACACTTAAGAATGAATGAAAATCCTGTGTCTACTTTCTTTGGAATGGGATGCAACATTTGAATAGTTGCCACAGAGGGTCAAGGTCAAGGAGCCAGTTTCATAGGGATTTAATTATTTGTTTAGTTAAACAATTTCAAAAGGATCTTGTAAGGAAAAATATTAAGGGATTTTAAGGTACATTTGAAAGAACAAATATGTTGGGGCGTCTCTCTAACTGCCATTTTCTTACCTAAAATGTGTGAAAACATTTTCCTTATCAATGTATCAGTTGATAGACATTTGGGTTGTTGTCACTTTGGCTATTGTGAATAATGCTGTAGCATGTCTACAATAGTCAAACTCATCAAAACAGAAAATAGAATTTTAGCTTCTGGGGCTGAGAGGAGAGAAAGAATGGGAGTTGTTATAGTGGACATAGAGTTTCAGTTTTGCAAGAGGGAAAAGTTCTAGAGCTCTTTTGCACGACAATGTTAATATAGTTACCATTACTGAACTGTACACTCAAAAATAGTTCAGAAGGTAAAGTTTATGTTATGTGGTCTTTGTCATGATTTTTCAAACAGTAAAAAATTATTTCATGCTTCATATATGTTGAAAATCAAAATTTGAAGAGCATTCTTAAACAGTTGAGATTAAGATTAATGCTATTACTATGACAATCTAATTTCAGACACAGCAATTCCCTCTTTAGTTGCTTGAATAAGAAAAAGATCTGACACTGATGTACTGTTGAGGCAGGGGAGGATGAAGTAGAACTCAGCAGTTTGAATAGATTTTTCATGTTTTGAGTGAAAGGCTCCAATTTGTTCTTTAATCTTCGTAGTAACATACTGTCATCTTAATGAAAATCTGATCTCCATATTGATGCATTGTTCAGTAACTGTTTCTTCAGTTGGAGACTTATATTGAGTGGAGAGAAATGTAAGTTAA
Organism: Homo sapiens; assembly: GCF_000001405.40. Classification (NCBI taxonomy): domain Eukaryota; kingdom Metazoa; phylum Chordata; class Mammalia; order Primates; family Hominidae; genus Homo; species Homo sapiens. Next base: position 23,461,472 of record NC_000005.10, read on the forward strand.
AAAAAATCACAAGAGTACATACATCTTATTAATATTTTTAGTTAAAGTGCATGTGTTTGTGTGTGTGTGTGTGTGTGTTTATATTTTAATTTCCAACCCCTACTAATTTGAACCTCTATCTAGAGGAATAGTGATCTCTCTGGGTTTGAGATTTTGAGTGCATATATTTTGAAGAGCATCTTTTAAGACAGATTAACTGAATGAGCTAATCCAGTTAGAACAGTTTGTATTGGTTTTGTAGTGTCCTCCCATATTAAAGTAATGCCAAATGACATGACAAGGACTATGACCTTCCTCAGAGACTGGAGTTAATCATTTGTAATTCATTGAGCTGTAGAAACAATCACATAAGAGATTGCATAATATGTACATTGGGAAAAAAGTAGGGAAACAGGATAACATCATAAGTTATGGAAATAACATAAATTGTTACTAAATATTTTCCATATTAAGCATTTGATGAAGCACAGCGAAAAATTAGGCACTTAATAAAAGCATTGCTAACAGTGGCATGGCAATTATGTGTTCACATTAACTTTCAAACACTTTAGACCTATTATAAATTAGTTTTTGATTTGACCTATATTTAAAGTGTAAAACATATTTCGATTAAAGACAAATTGTATAAAATTTAATGTAATTATTTACTTCTAAGAACATCAGGTGACAAGACGTGACTGAGATTATTTTATTCTTATTGCAGGGGATGGGAAGCATGAGAGGATATCTACCAAATCAATTAAATCTGGTTTTTGGCAAATAGCAGGATGCAGACTGGGTAGAATTTGAGCAAAATGTAATGTTACTTTCTAGTAGATTATTCCTCATGATCCAGTATTCAATAACTTTTGTGATTTTTTTTTTTCTCGCTCTGTCACCCAGGCTGCAGTGCGGTGGCGCGATCTCGGTTCACTGCAAGCTCCGCCTACCGAGTTCATGCCATTCTCCTGCCTCAGCCTCCCGAGTAGCTGCGACTACAGGGGCCCGCCACGAAGCCCAGCTAATTTTTTTTTGTATTCTTAGTAGGAACGGGGTTTCACCGTGTTAGCCAGGATGGTCTTGATCTCCTGACCTCGTGATCCTGCCGTCTCGGCCTCCCGAAGTGCTGGGATTACAGGCGTGAGCCACCGCGCCTGGCCCGATTTGTTTGAGAGACATAAACAAAATTTTGTTATGACTAAGATCTCTGTCTGTTTACAGAGATCTGGACAGTATCAAGAGGACTCACAAGAACGTTGAAATATCCAGGGCATATAAAAAATGTGAAGCTTTTTATACCACCCTTAGGCCTGCAGAGGCAGGAAGCAAACATCTTGTTACTAGATCGTGAAGTAAGGTAAGTAATGATATAGATCCTGAGGTGGTCTATGAAGATGGGAGAATTGGAGAGGAGATGGTTCTAATAGTTCTTGCCTTTGTCTCTGATCTGTAACTCTGATTGACTGAACCCAAGACGAAGCCAGAGATCAAGCACATTTGGGCTGATGCTCTCTGGCGGAGTCAAGGTATCTTTCGAGGTAGAGCAGAGTAGAGAAAGTTGAACATAACCTAGAGAAAGCAATTGAAAATTAACTCCCAAATACAATGCTACATTATGTTCTTCTAGAATATAAAGACAACATGTTACATAATGACATTTTTCATCAATATATCTCATTGAAACAGAATGTCTAATTAAGATGAGAACATATGCTTTTAAATTCACTTAGAGATCATTCTGAGTAAGTACAGCATTTTGCAGCTTCATTACTATAGTGACTAACAAATGAAAATTGAAGATTTTAAGAGGCAAGAAAATAAATGATCAACATTATAAGTGTTACATTTAAACAACCTGTGGCAGCACTATAGTGCTGGAGTGGTCAATAAACTGTATGAAGTTTAAGATTCAAATACTGTTTGTGTAAGAAAGGGAAGGCTGTATGCTTTTATTATCAATGTATGTGTGGCAGGAAGAGTAAAAGGTAATATTTGAAAAAAATAATTTTGAAACTATATCCCAAATTTCATATTATAGAATTTATATATCTCTAAGATTTTCTTAATAACTGGAGAGTGGCTGGGCACGGTGGCTCACACCTGTAATCCCAGCACTCTGGGAGGTCGAGGCAGGGGATCACCTCAGGTCATGAGTTCAAGACCAGCCTGACCAACATGGAGAAAACCCATCTCTACTAAAAATACAAAATTAGCGGGGCATGGTGGTGCATGCCTGTAATCCCAGCTACTCGGGAGGCTGTGGCAAGAGAATTGCTTGAACCCGGGAGGCGGAGTTTGTGGTGAGCTGAGATCGCGCCATTGCACTCCAGCCTGGGCAACAAGAGTGAAATACCATCTCAAAAAAATAAATAAAATAAAAATATATAAATAAATAACTGGAAAGTGTTTGATTTTTAACATTTAAACCCAATTAAATTTCCAATTTAGAAGCCTGAGAGTTGTAAAAAAGCATAGTTATTAAAATAATTACAGAAAATTGAGCATAATATTTTTTATTTTCCAATCCCCTAAAACTAATAATTGATTTTTCTCAAATACTTGGCTTTACATTATTAAAATAAATTATATTGAATTGCCTTGACACATAGATAAATAAATTATAATGTTTCTAAATTATGTTACTTTCTTATAAAGTATTCCTGATAAAATACCTAATAACTTTCATGATTTATTTGAGATATAAACAAAATTTTGTTATGACTAAGATCAGAAGAAAAGTAAAGATTCTTATAGTTGACCCAAATAATTGCATAAATTACTAAAAAAAGCATTAAAAGCTGAAGTAACAATTCATGCTAAACTCCAATCACTTTTTGACTGTGATAAAAGTGATTGTTAACATCTGTACAGTTCATATAAAAGACATCAATACTTGTAGCCAACGATTAAAGGTATTGAAGTGATAAGAAAAGGACTATAGATCATGCTGCTATAAAGACACATGCACACGTATGTTTACTGCAGCACTCTTCACAATAGCAAAGAATTGGAACCAACCCAAATGTCCAACAATGATAGACTGGATTAAGAAAATGTGGCACATATACACCATGGAATACTATGCAGCCATAAAAAATGATGAGTTCATGTCCTTTGTAGGGACATGGATGAAATTGGAAATCATCATTCTCAGTAAACTATTGCAAGGACAAAAAACCAAACACCACATGTTCTCACTCATAGGTGGGAATTGAACAATGAGAACACACGGACACAGGAAGGGGAACATCACACTCTGGGGACTGTTGTGGAATGGAGGGAGAGGGGAGGGGGGAGGGGGAAGGGATGACGACTTAATGGGTGCAGCACACCAGCATGGCACATGTATACATATGTAACTAACCTACACATTGTGCACATGTACCCTAAAACTTAAAGTATAATAATAATAAAATTTTTAAAAAAAGAAATTAAACTCCTCATCTCTTTTACCTGTAATATCTAGAGTTGTTTTCAGTTAAAATATGTCATCCAGGGATAAAGCTAATTATAGCCTTTTTATGCATGCTTTTGGCATCACTGTTATTGTCAGTTTTTTTACTTATATGTACAATATTTATTGATATACAAATATTCTTTATTTGCAAATTAAATACAAAAAGTAACTTTAAATGCATCCTGCACCTCCCTCCCATGGCACTAAATTGCTCAAGCAATAATTAGTAAAATACATAGTAGCACTTTTTTAAAGTGGGAATATAAAAAAATTTCTAACTTGAAAGAAGTAGAAAAAGGGCAGAAAGCATTCACCAGGTTAGGAAAAACACCAAGAAAAATAAAAATAACGTGAAGAAGTAGCAAATATTAATCCCTGGAAAAAATAAGCATGTGGAAATTATACAAAAATATCAGTAATTGCAATGAAAATAAAGGAATATATGTTGCCTATTAAAATGGTAGATATGTTTGACAAATAAATACATCCTATTAGCAGATGTCAGAGTTGGGATCCAAACCCATCCCACTGGTTCCCAGAGCTGGAGCTTGTCACACTACAGCACCCTGATTGGACAGTCTCCACACTCTGGTCAACTCATCAGAGAGCTGAAAAAAGAAGGCACAGTATCACTTTGTTTGACTTCAGCTAGGAATGGACACATCAGAAGACTAACATTTTGTGTCACTCTCAGCATGTCTACAGATAAGAACAAAAAGTGTCATCAGAATTTATTTTGAGTTTGCAGATAAATTTTAGCATGTAGAATTTTGCAAATACAAAATCTGTGAATACATATGGATCAACAGAGTTTCATATTTAACAAAGAAACAGTAATTAAAAAGTGGAAACCATGAATGTATGTGCACCTAACTCCAGAGGCAAAATATGAAATTAGAAAAACACAGCAAAATACTAGGAGTTGCCAGGTGTGGTGGCTCACACCTTGTAATCCAGCACTTTGGGAGGCCAAGGCAGGAAGATCATTTGAGATCAGGAGTTCAAGACCAGCCTGGCCAACATGGTGAAACCTAATCTCTACTAAAAATACAAAAAAATAGCCAGGTGAGGTGACAGCTGCTAGTAATCCCAACTACTCAGGAGGGAGTAGAATTGTTTGAACCCGGGAGGCAGATGTTGCAGTGAGCCAAGATCTCACTACTGTACTCCAGCCTGGGCAACACAGCAAGACTCAAAAACAAACAAACAAACAAACAAAAAACCAGAAGGTTACAAATTTGCAGATATGTTGAAAAAACTCTTATTTAAAAGAAAGTTAGCAGTTAGGCAGTTATGAAATCATTAGGAATGCAGAAAATTTCTATGCACCAGATTAAAACATTGAGCTAATACTTCATAGATAATTTTAATTTACATACACTGGAGACTATCCCAAAATATACATTTTTTTAAAAAAGACCAATTTTAAAGCAACATAATGAAACCACCTTTGCAAATATTATGACAGTGAAAGAGTCTAGCATGGCTTACTCCATATCGCTTCTAGCCTCGCAAGATGGCTTTCCTCTCACATTCCTGGGCATTAAGCCAAGCTAACCATGGCAGGAATTTAGATTATAGTTTCCCTTTGAAGCAAGGATGATAGTAGGCCCTCCCTAAACTGACTCACTCCTTGTTCAGGGACTGAAACTGCCTTTGTAAGACTAATGAAAGGCCACATGTTAGGATTACTGGGCAGGTAGAGCAGAATGCATGCACAGCTTGCCTTTACATAATTGCTTACCACACCATAGGTCAAAAACTTTGTAACTTCCCCACTTGTTCCTATGGATAATATCACCATTGTGAAACCCAAGGTTGGTATTTTGCAATTTTTTTTGAACTGATTACACACTGACTCTGCCTGGACCTGTGATTTATGACTCAATCCTGGACCTGGGATTCATAATTCAATCAATCTCCTGACCTTCACCCACAGTCTGATTCAGGGCATAAGCACTGTTTTCCACACCCTTATGATTTCATCCTCAACCAATCAGTAGCACCCATTCCCTAGCCCCTTGTCTGACAAATTATCCATTAAAAAACCTAACCTCTGAATTCTTGGGGAGGCTAATTTGAATAACAAACTCTGTCTTTCACTTGGCTAGTGCTGTGTTAATTAAACTCTCTTTGCTGCAAAAACCTGCTGTTCTCAGTGCATTAGCTTTTCTGGGCAGTGGGCAAGATAAACCAGTTGGGCTATTACAATAACATAAAGTAAATGGTATTTTTTGTATAATTTAAGATAATTACAAGTAATATTATTATCTATCATTTGTTCATATATAAAGCTGTTGTGCATATCTATCAAATTTGTGATAGTGGTTGTCTCAGTGTGATTGAAGGCAAATGCTACTAGAAATAGGTGGTCAAAAAGTGTATCAACTTTAACATCAATATTCTCTTTCATTAAACAAATGAAACTAACAGAAGTTTTATTAAAAATATTTAAAAGAAAACCCTATTACCTCTCTTGTAAGCCCAATGATTCCTGCCCTAGTGTAATCCCGTTCCCTGGCAAGTAGGAGAGACCTGAGTATTATAATTGACTAAAATTAGTCAAGTAGAATACTTAACTAATTAAGGATATTAATTCCATCTGCAAAATCTCTTTACATATAAGATAAAAAATAGTGGAATTGATATCCCATTATATTCTCAGGTCTCTCCTACTTCCCCCCAAAAAGGAATATCATCCAGAGTAGATATCACCTCCTAATGAGTTGAATCCTTTAAAGTGTAGAGCCTGGAAGGAACAGAAGTGCTCTTCTGCTGGTATTAAAGAAACAAGTCATCAGTTTCTAACCAAGGAACTGAGTACTGCCAACAACCTTGTGAACTTAAAAGAGTATCTTGAGCCTAAGATAAAACCTCAGCCCCAGCTGACACCCTGAATACATCCTTGTGAGATCCTAAGCACAGGACTATGGAACTTGCAAGATAGTAAATGTGACGTGCATCCATGTAAAGAGACCACCAAACAGGCTTTGTGTGAGCAACAAGGCTCTTTATTTCACGTGGGTGCAGGTGGGCTGAGTCCGAAAAAGGGGTCAGTAAAGGGTGCTGGGACTATCATTAGTTCTTACAGGTTTGGGATAGACATACAAAGTACAATCTCAAGGGCAGGGAGAATATTGCAAAATACCGTCTTAAGGGTGGGGGAGAATAGGAGAATATTATTACAAAGTACCTTCTTAATGGGGCTGGGGGAGAATATTACAAAGTACCTTCTTAAGGCAGGGGAGAATATATTGTATCAGTTAGGGTGGGGCAGGAACAAATCGCATTGGTGGAATGTCATCAGTTAAGGGTATTTTCACTTCTTTTGTGGATCTTCAGTTGCTTCAGGCCATCTGGATGTATACATGCAGGTCACAAGGGATATGATGGCTTAGCTTGGGCTCAGAGGCCTGACAGTAAATACATGTTGCTTTCAGCTCTTAAGTTTGTGGTGATTTGTGAAGCATCAAGACAGCACTAATGCAACTACTAATGTACCAATGTCTTTCAGTGGAGAAATCCCCCTGGAATGTTGTGATACAGTTTGCTTTTAATATGTTACATGGCCTTAGGCAAAAGATTTAACTTCTCTAGGCATAAAGAGGTGTTTTCGTGCTAAGTATATCCAAATCCCTTAAAGTTGTAGAGATTTATCCTTCGCTGTAAGAGCTAACAAAAAAAAAAAAAAAGAAAGACACAGAGAGAGAGAGAGAACTATTGCCAAGTTTAAAAGAGGTGAGCACTTTCCAAGTATTGATTAGTAGATTAATTCATTTACTTATTGGAACATTAATCATTCAAAAAATTTAGAGAGTAGTCAATTAATTTACTCATTCTGTGCTTTAGCAAATATTGTTTGAAAATTTACCACAGAGGCTAGATGATAAAGATACATTAATAAATAAAGTCACTCCCATTTTTATTGTGATTACTTAACAGTAAATAATACATTAGACGAGCAATAAACCAAACTGCAGGAAACCTGAGAAGGCTTTCTTCATGAAATGGGAGCTAAACCCACACTGATTGAATAACATTTACAAAGTCAAAAACAGAGGCGTTGAAGAGAACTAGGGATGCTCCAGGCCGAGAGAACATGGTATGCAAAGATCTGAAGCTGTGGATGAACTTGATAAGATTAAGGAATTACAAACTTTTCTTTGAGTTGATCAAACAAGTCAAAGAAAATAATGTGAGAGAGGAAAAATAAACTAAGAGCAGATTATAAAAGGCCTGGTAAACTTTTCAAAAAATATGTGGTTGTTGCCGTAAGCAGTAGTAATGTTTTTAGATGTGACCTCAGTCAGTTCAGGCTGGTATAACAAAAAAACCATAAACTTGAAGGTGCCTCACAAACAATAGAAAATTATTTTTCACAATTTTGAAGGTTGGAAATCTGAGATTAGGGGGCCACAATGGTCAAGTTCAGTTGAGTGCCCTCTCCTGGATTGCAGACTGACAAATTCTCATTGAATTCTCACATGGCAGGAGAGGAGGTGTTCAGGGGAGAAGAGAGAGCTCTTATTCCTCCTTGTATGGGGCACTAGTCCCGTTCATGAGGATTCTCCCCTCATGACCTAATCACCTAATCACGTCCCAAAGGCCACATCTTCTAATGTCAGCATATTGTGGATTGAAATGTTAGCCTATGAGTTTTCAGGGGACACGGACATTCAATCCATAAGAGATGTTATTCTGACACGTGCTGGTTTTTTTAGTTTGATTTAATGAAGTTTGAACTGTCTCAGACAGTTTGAACTGTGTTACACAGACATAAATATGTGTTACACAAGACATAAATATGTCTTGTATGTCTCAGAAAGAAGTCAGTGGTAATGGAGAAGAAAGAGTGCATTAAACAAATATTTAGAAGAAAAATATATGGAAAACAGTAACAGATTTGATAGTTACTGAATAATCAAGGCAACTGCAATAAAAAAGAAAAAGTTAGAAAATATTAAGTGAATATATAGAGTTTTTTTTTTCAGTTAGAAAATGCTGAATTTGAAGTACCATTAGAACATTTAAGTCAGAGTTTTCAAAAGTCTTACACAGGGAACACCATCTGTCAACAATGTACTTAATAGTTTCCATCAAGGGGCTGAAGATTGAACCACGGAGAACCTTTAGCAATGCTAGGGTTCCAAGAACAGCAAAAGCTAGAACTTAGAATTTTATGTTCATAACAATTAAAGATTGGCCTCTGACTTTCGTGCCCGGATATTAAATTCAACACCAAGGATCTGGGTTAAATAGAGTCAAATACTTTATTTTGTCATTATAGGGACAAGACTTTTCAGAATCATTGTGCAGACCTAGGACTTATGTTTTGATGAGCTACTCAAGGAGAAAGTGGCCTCTGTATCTTGAATAAACTAGAAAATAAATGAGTATAGTGAAACATGTGGCAACAAAATTTGTGTATGATAATTGTATCAGATCAGTAATGTCTGCTTATATGTTACTCCATGCTAACCTGTCTGTAAATATAATGGGTTAAAACAGTGATTTAATGCTGCTCACAATATGTCAGGAATTTAGGATGGGCTCATTTCATCATTCATCTGTTATCTACCTGGCATCACATGGGGTGTGTACCCGTCAGGGTTCTGAAGCAGGCAGAGGGTGGTTGATGTTAGAGATCTGACATCAAAAATTGCTTCTTTATTGACATATCTAGTCTCTTGGCTAATATTTCTGTCCACACAATATCTGATATTCCATCTATCCTCCATGTCCTTGTGCTTCTCACATCATGGTGGACACAGGTTATTCACATTTCTTTTATATTTTATTGTAAATATTGATGGTGTACAGCATGATGCTTTAATATACATACCCATAGTGAAATTATTACTATAGTCAAGCGAATTAACATATCCATCTCTTCACAATTACCACCATTTATTTTGGTGGTAGCACACCTGAAATCTACTCTCCTAGGAATTCATTGGTACACAATGCACTATTCTTAACTACAGCCATCATGCTGTACCTTCGATTACTCAACTTATTCATCATACGTAACTGCAATTTTGGATCCTTTGACCTGTGTCTCCTCATTTCCTCCTTCTCTTTACTCCTGGTGTCTTAGTCTGTTCTGTATTTCTGTAACAGAATACCTGACAATAGGTAATTTATAAAGACCAGAAATTTATTGGTTTGCAACTCTGGAGACTGGAAAGTCCAAGATTGAGGGCTTGCATCTGACAGGGCCTTCTTGCTACATTATAACATTGCTGATGGTACACATAGCAAGAGATGGAGAAAGGGGGCTGCATTTATCCTTCATAAGGACCTTACTCTTGAGATAAAAAATTCAGTTCTGCAACAATGGTATTAATCTGTTAATGAGGACAAAGACTCTGTGATCTAATCACCCCTAAAATCCCACCTCTTAACAGCATTGAGGATTAAGTTTCCTACACATGAACTTTAAGGGACATATTCATAGAATGTCACTTATTAACCATGGTTCCACTCTCTGTCTGTTTCTATGGATTGGATACTTTTAGATACCATATAAGTGAGATCATGTAGTTTTTGTCTTTCTGTACCTGTGTTATTTCAATTAACATAATGTTCTCTAGGTTGATCTGTGTTGTTGCAAATGACAGCATTTCTTTCTTTGTAAAGGCTGACTAGTATCCCATTATATATATATACACACACACACACATATATATATACATATATACACACACATATATACACACACACACACACACACACCACATTTTCTTTCTGTATTTATTAGTTGATGTACACTTAGGTTGATTCTGTATCTTGGCTATTGTGAATAATGTTGCAATGAACATGGGAACTTAGAAATCTCCACAAAGTACTGATCTCATTTCCTTTGAATGTATACCCAGAAAAGGGATTACTGGTTCACATGTTAGTTTTATTTTTTATTTTGTAAGAAACCTTCATATTATTTTTCGTGAGTGTACAAGGGTACCCTTTTCCCCACACTCTTGCCAACATTAATTTATAGGGCTTTTTAAAAGTAATAGCCATGCTAACAGATGTAACACGACATCTCATGTACTTTTGTTTGCATTTCTTTGGTGATTTGTAATGTTGAACAGATTTTCATCTGTCTGTTGGCCATTTTTATGCCTTCTTTAAAAAAAGTCTATTCTGGTTTTTTGCACAATTTTTGAGGTTTTTATTGCTTTAAAACATTAATAAAAAATTGGAGAATACACAAATAAATGGAAAGGTCTCTTATATTCATGGGTTAAAAAGATTAATATTCTTGAAAGTCCATACTACCCAAAGCAATCTCTATCAAAATTCCAATGACAGTTTTTAATTTAAATAAATTTAAAAGTTACATGGAGCCACAAAAGACCCTGAGTAGCCAATACTATTTTAAGAAAAAAGAAAAAAGTTGGAGTTATCACACTTTCTGATTTCAGGTTATATTACACAGTTACAGTAATCAATATAATATTACACAGTTACAGTAATCAATATAATATGGCACTGACATAAAAAAAAGACACTAGAAAAAATGGAACAGAATAATAGCCCCCAAATAAACATAAGCTTATTATACAGTCTACTAATTTACAACAAAGGCCCAAGGAAACACGATATGGAAATAATAGTCTCTTCAGTAAATGGTGCTGGGAAAACTGAATATTCACCCACAAAAGAATAAAATTGAATACATATCTTACACCAAGCACAAAAAATGAACTCAAAATAATTAAAGTCCTAAACATAAGACTTGGAATATATTCCTAGAAGAAAACATAGGGAAAAAGCTCCTCAATGTTGATCTGGGAGACGATTTCTTTGACTACTACACCCAAAGCATAAGCAACAAAACAAAAAAAATAAAACCAGTGATAATACAACAAGATAACTTTGCAAGTCAAAGGAAACAGTCAAAACAAAAAGTCTACAGATTGCCAGAAAATATTTGTAAACCACGTATCCAATTAGGGGAAAACTTTAAAGAATCTAGTCATATTTCTATGGAGGCTACTTTCTCAAAAACTGGCTTTGAGAGGGTGAAAGGGAAAAAGACTAATTCACAGAAGTTTAATAAATAAATATAAATTGAATACATAAGTATATATGTAATTTAATATATTAAAAGTAAATATATCTAATTTCAGAAGGAGTGTGAGAGTCAAATCATTTTCTTTTCTTTTCTTTTTTTTTTTTTTTAGATGGAATCTCACACTGTTGCCCGGGCTGGAGTGCAGTGGTGCGATCTTTGCTCACTGCAACCTCTGCCTCCAGGGTTTAAGCGATTTTCCTGCCTCAGCCTCCTGAGTAGCTGGGACTACAGGCATGCGCCACCACACCTGGCTAATTATGCGTTTTTAGTAGATCTAAAGTAGAGACAGAGTTTCATCATGTTGGCCAGGATGGTCTAGATCTCCTGACCTTGTGTCCACCCGCCTTGGACTCCCAAAGTGCTGGGATTACAGGCGTGAGCTACCATGCCCAGCCTGAGTCTAATCATTTTCAATAATTAATAGCAGAGAATACAAATGATAGAAACCCTCAAAAAACAGAGATACTTTGCTATGAAAAGATCATCATATAAAAGTAGTATCAGTTTCCAAAACAGTGTTAAAATTAAAAACAGAGAGTATAATTTGTAAACACCTGGACTAGAGATACAGGATTGTTTTAAAAGGTAGAGCCAGATAAGTGAATTCTGAGGCACGTTCACATTGATTAATTCATCACCATACACATGCATCATTCCTCTTCTTGTCTCTAATTATGTGTATTTCTCCATGGGAATTGCCCAACCTTAATTTAACTGACTTCTGTTAGCCACAAAAATAAATGACAGTGCCTATCAACTGATGGCCTGAAGCCAGTGTATATGCCAATATGTACTGTACAATCTATCCTTAGGTTGCCATATTACATCTACTGTTTGTCTTTGGTGCTCCTTCCTAAGCTCATTTTTATTTTGTATTTGACTTTGATTTTGGCACAGATGGCAAGACTGAAATTTCTATTCTTGATCAGTCACAAATGGTAAATTGTTATTTACTTCAGATGAGTAATTTCACTTATTTAATAGATAACAGAAAGTTACTCAATTTATTTTAAAAAGTGACAATTTCTTAGCTGTGTTAAGAACACTTCATTGATGTGAGAAAAATTTATGTGTGCAGTGAAAACCATTATTTCCCTAAGGTTATCTAGATGAAAGCTGCCTTATCATTCACTCAAAACAGTGTCTTTCCAAAGTGCTACTGCAAACACTTCAGGTATTAAATAAATTGTTAACCATTGTTCTGTAGTTGATTTCTAGATACTCTTGTCTGTAGTGACAGAATATATGCTATCATCTATATGAAATTCTGCTGAGAGATCACTAATAATATTTCATTGCATTATTCTCCTTTGCATTATTGCATCTTGTTACCTGTGGCCATAAACACATGCACACATTCTTACAGTCTATTGCAAACTGTAAAGCAAAACGTTTCAAAAATATGCAGGTGCTTTGTAATCTAAGTGCTTCATCAATGATGAAAGTAAGTAACCAAGAGCAAGCTGAGATCTTTCAATTCTCAGAAGCTTCTCAGTTTTATGGTGAAATGAAAGTGGAATCATAAGAAGAGGTTGTAATATATGCAACCAACTCATTCTATTTACATATTTTTCAGCTCTGCTAACAGATGATCAAGTGTAAATACATAGTGAATTTTCTGCTTCTTTTCCTTCAGCAAGAACTATATACATAAATTTTCTAAACTAAAAATGAAAATGTCAGTATGCATTTGCTTAAGATAAATATACCTTCTTCAGAATGCACTGATGACTTGTTATTTCCATAATCCAAAATGGGTTTTATTATATCCTAACCTCTTTAGGCAATATACATTTATTGAGGTTTTCATTAGAAGATATTCTACACCTAGAGACTGAGTATTAAGTCAAACCTAGCATTAAATAAGCTAGTCTTTTAAGGGGGCTGGAATTACTAAATCTTATGAACATCCACACAAATATCAACACTATTTTTTTGTCCTTATACTTACTGCATATTCATTATCATGCTTATTCTCATCTACTATCAGAATGACACATTGTGTGTGTGGGTATATATGTAATTCTTACCTGCATATCCATCTAATTTTCATGAGAGCAGAGACTGTTATAACCTTTCTTTATGAAGTTTTTTTTTTTTTAATTTGATGTAAACATTGTCTTGAAGACCCAATGACAAAGTGAATTTAAAGTGGTAGTATATAGTCCCAGCTACTCAGGAGGCTGAGGTGAGACATTCATTTGGGCCTAGCAGGTGGAATCTGCAGTGAGCCATGATTGTGCTGCCATACTCCAGCCTGGGTGGCAGAGTGAGACCCTGTGTCAAAATAATAAAATAAAGTCATAGTAAATTTAGTGTAATTGATGGATTATAGCTCTTTCTTTTGGTAGACCATAGTCATATCCATTTGGCTTAACCTAATTTTAGCTGTAGCTGGTCAATTCCATAACATTTCTGCCTTATATTGATAATGTCACCTGGAATACACACTATATGTCTCATTTTCAGTCACAGGGCTTTCTTTGAAACAATGCAAGCCTACTGAGGCACAACTTGAAACTATGTAAGACTTAATATTTTTAGCGATAAGCCTCAATTGATATGTGCTGTAGTAGATGGGTAAATGCTCTAGTCTTCTGTTCTTTGTATGAACAAATATGAAGGACATAAGCATGTTTCTCGGTCATTGCTAGAGAATAGAGTCTCATGAATTAAATAGCAGTAACATTGATGTTGAGCAATTATATTGCTTTTTTTCTGCTTGCCTCTTTTCTAAGATTGCCTTTCAAATGGTCTTTTGGCATCCTCATTTCTTGTTTTACTTTTTGCTTTGAATGCTGTGTCAGTATGGAAACAAAATCATTGAAGAAAATCAATACGATTTGTTTTTTAGATCTGGAACCTATTTTTAACTTTAAGCATTGCAAGGAAAGTTCACAACTTCTGATTTATTTGCATAATTGTGATTTGTATGCAGATTTCTACAAAATGTACAGTTATTTTAATTGCAGTATTTTACTGTACATCTATAGATATACTTTTAAATCCTTAAAATAGTTACTTATTTACTATACTCATTTATATACTATTGTATTTGTTGCTTAAGAGAAGTAAATCAGCATGCCAACTGGAGGAAAGGGCATTGAAAAATTTCAACTTTATGACTTGTTAGAAAAATTGGAAACTACGTATTTCTCTTTTAAATTTAGAAAATGTATAGAGATGTACCTGGAATTAGTCTTTATATTTTTATTAAACTTAAATAGTATAAAATATGAATAGGCTAAAAAGGGCTTCAGTATTATCAAATAATTTCAGAGCTAACATTTTGTATCATGATGCAGACAAGATAACCAAATAATATGGCTAGGCAACTCTGACAGATGTAACAGGGAAATTGAGTCTGAGGGAATGTACATGCACATGCGCACACACACATACATGCACGTTTTGAGAAACTTCATGGTGGATGAAGTGAGTTATGATGCCGGCCTCATCAGGTAGACAGAAGTCTTTCTTTCTTTCTCTTCTCATGGAAATTACATTTTTAATTTTTTGAGTAATCACTGTATTGTTTTCCATAGTGGCTATACCAAGTTTACATTCCCACCTACAGTGTACAAGGGATCCCTTTTCTCCACATTTTCATCAACATTAAATATTGAGCAGCAGAAAAAAAAGGGAAAATGTGAAGGCAACTTAGTAAGGCACTGGAGATTTTGGTGGACATTATAAAAACTAAGAGAGAGAGATTTAAGGGGAGGATGATATAATCATCTACTCAGAAATCCCAACATGATTAACTTACAAAATATTGAAATAAATGACAAGCTCAGCAATTATTTCAGATACAAAATTAATTATAAAAAGTCAGCAGTGATGTTTTCATCTCAGCAAAACCTACTAGAAAATGTAATATAAATTAATATATATTTATAGTAGCAAAGAAGGTCTATAAATTAGCTGAAAGTTAATGGTAAGTAATGCATAGGCTTCATACAAAAAATATAAACGTCTATGAAAGATATAACAGAACATATGAAAAATCAAACGTACAATATGAACACAGACAAAATGACCTAGCACTTTAAAGGTATTAAAATCTGTTTGTAGTGTTAACCAAAAAATGACTGGAGCAGGTGTCTTAATTGATAGAGGTTGATTTAAGCAAAGTTCGAGGCATTTCTTTCCAAGCAATTTGTGAGGGAGCCCATCTGGGGAGTTATGTGGCCTTCTGTGTTGTGGGAACATGGCTTATGGATGGGGCTGTGACACAGGGTTGTAAAATTACAGCTATTTGGGAAGAAAAGGAAGGCAGTGTTGCATGACTCAGTTCCCAAGCTTAACTTTCCCTTTGGCATAGTGAGTTTGGGGTCCCAAGATTATATTTTCTGTCACAGCATCAGTCCATAAACAATATACATGTCACCAAAATTAACCCTGGGAACTTGGTACAAAATTATATTTGAGGAAATGTCTATGAATAGTTAAGTCAATTTTGAAATAGAGCAAAAATTGTGGACTCTGTATATAAGATATTAAGAAATACTATAAAAGTATATCAATGAAAAACAATGTGGTATTGGCACAGGAAAAGAAAAATAGACCAACAGAACAGAATAGAGAATACCAAAGAAAACTACGCATATGTGAGAATCTAACATAAAATTAAAAGTGCACAAATTAATAAGAGTGAATTATTTAAGAGATGTCATTATCAAAAATGGTTCTCAGTAAAGAGAAAAGTAGGTTGGATTTTACACCTCAAATGAAGGTTGGGTTACTAGTGTAATAATAATTAAATATGACAGGTAACATGGTTTGGCTGTGTCCCCACCCAAATCTCATTTCAAATTAATGTGTCCCATAATTCCCATGTGTCATAGGAGGAATCCAGAGGGAGCTAATTGAATCACAGAGGTGGTTTCCCCTACACTGTTCTCATGGTAGTGAATAAGTCGCACAATAGCTGATGATTTTATAAAGGGTTTCTACTTTTGCTTGGCTCTCATTCTCTCTTTGCCTGCCTCCGTGTAAGACATGCCTTTCACCTTCCGCCATGATTGTGAGGCCTCTTCAGTTTTGTGGAAACATGAGACCGTTAAATCTCTTTTTTGTTATAAATTACCCAGTCTTGGGTATGTCTTTATCAGCAGCATGAAAACAAACTAATACAACAGATAAAATAAATTTTGGACAGCATTTTTAAAAAAAATACAAGACGCAAAAAGTGTGAAATAGAAGGTATATATATTGATATACTCAATTAAATCAAAATTTAGGGTTTCTGTGCCAGAACGAGGGAAATGATCTTATGACATTATGAAAAAATTATCAAACTCATTAGCAATGAAAGATCATGATTATAAACAGCACTAAATAATTTTTAAAAATCAGATTGTCCACAATATGCTTGTGAGAATGTAGGGCAATGCAAATTCATGTGTACTGCTGATGCACATTCTTAATCCAGTCATTGTTTCTTAGTCCATGTTTTACTCTATTTATCAGCAGTTTTTTGTTAGACTGTGTCCAAGACAACACACACTTACTTTTCTTTCAGTCTCAATGGCTATTTTGTTTGCTGGCAAACTTCATCCTTTTCATTTGGGATTACCTCAATGTTCAATCTTTGGACCTCCTATATTCTTTATCTAGGTACTTTGCCTCTGTAATCTCATCTAATCCTTTGCTTTAAGTACTGTCTTTTTACTAATGGCTCACATATTTAAATGATCTGTGGGATCTCTTCCTGAATTCAGGATATATATATTCACTTTCTAATTTTAGATCTCTATGTGTATGGCTAGTAGAGATTTACAACTGTTCAGTTTATGATGTTTTGATTTTATGATGGTGTGAAAGTGATACATGTTCAGTAGAACTTGTACTATGGGTACCCATAACCATTCTGTTTTTTGCTTTTAGTACAGTATTCAATAAATTACATGAGCTACTCAACACTTTATTAGAAAATAGGTTTGTGGTAGATAATATTGTCTAACTGTAGACTAATAGACGTGTTCTGAGTATGTTTAATTTAGGCTAGGCTAGGCTATAGTGTTCGTTAGGTTAGGTGTGTTAAATGTATTTTCCACTTATGATATTTTCAACTTACGATAGACTTTTTGAGAAATAATCCCATCATAAATGAAGGGGCATCTGCAGTAATCTCAAAGTTAGCATACCCAAAAGTTAACTTCTTCAACCCTCTTCACACACTCTGCAATATATGCACTATTCATTGGTCTTTCTTTAGTTACTGCTCAAAAATATTCGAGTCATATTTTTCTGATACCCCACATTACATCTTTCGAAGATTCTCTTGGATCAAATTTTGAAATATATTTAGAATTTAATCACTTTCCATTTTCTACTAAAATCATACTTTCCATGCTACAATGATTTTATTCCTCTACTATTAAAATGGCCTCCTATTGCATTCTCCTATATCCACCATCTTCATTGTACAACATATTCTCAACACAGCAGCTTTATTGATGTTGTTGATAGAAGAGTCAGAAGATGTAACTTTTCTGCTCGAACTCCACCAGTGACTCTTCATGTCTTTCTAAGTAAAAGCCTACAAGGCTCCACACATTCTTCCACCTTCTCCAGTATTCTTGTATTTCACTTCTACATTGGGTCACTCTGCTTCAGCCACATCAGCTTATATCTGTCATTTGAACATTAAGCTATATTTCCACCACAGGGCTTTTGAAATGTCTGTTCCATGTGCCAGGAATGTTCCCTTCCATATATCAGCATGAATCCATCAAGTCTCCGGTCAAACTATAGGAGGCATAATATGAACACCCTTCCTCTTATATTCCAGGACTTCCAAAACCTTCTCTACTACTTTTATGGCTCTTGTAACATTATAATAAATATTGAAACTTAATTATGTTTAATGTTTTTATACACTTATTAATATGTGAGTCTTCCTAAAGCAGTTTCTTTCTTTTTAAGAATATTTGTTCCAGAAGTATTCCTAGCACTAATAATTATGCCTGGAACATAGTAGGGTACTTATAAATATTTAGTGTATGAATGGAATGTGGGTTGATGTTTCATTTATTCTAATAAAATAAAATGTATTTTTGCCATTTGATCCAGATGTATTGATCTCTAATACATATCCTAGAAAATTCTCATAAGGAGAAATACAGGATTATTTTATTGTAACATATTTTGCAAGACAAGGAATTGGAGATAATTGTAAGATTTACAAACTATCTCTTCCTCTCTCTCTCTTTTTTAATATCTAAATAGATACATAGGTAGATAGATGAGATAGAGATACATAGATAGAGATAGATTGGACAGATAGAGGAAAGCATATCACATGGGTGACTCACAAAATTAGTAAAAGAGTAGGGTTGGGATGATGGACTATTGCTGTAGATTATTTTTATTTTAAAGAGAATACTACATAATTTGCAAAGATACTGTCAAGTTCAGTATTTATAGCATGAAGATTGAGTAAATGTTGGAAACATAAGAACAAAAATAAAAATACAAAATAAAACAAGAGGAGGACCTCATATGAACAAGTAATCAGAATAGGCTATGAATGGATAAATTAGATTGGTATATAAGGAAATAATGAAATAGAATAGCACACTCCCTCGGCTGGAGTGCAGTGAAGCCATCATACCTCACTGTAGTATCAAACTTCTGGGCTCAAGTGATCCTCCCACCTCTGCCTCCCAAGAAGCTAAGACTACAGGCATGTGACACAATGCCCATCTAATTTTTTAATTTTTTAATTAGTTTTTTTTTTTTTTGTAGAGTTGTTGTCTTACTTTGCCATCCCGGCTGTTCTGAAACTCTTGACTTCAAATGATCCTCAAGCCTTGGTCTGCCAAATTGCTAGGATTGCGGGCATGAGCCACCATGCCCAGCCTTGCTCCATAATTTTTTAGGACATATTTAAAGTATTTAAATCTGAATGATGAATAATAGTATTATCATTCTTCTTAAAATATGAAATATTTGAGAAATAAAATTTCTCAAAATATGAAAGTTTTGATGCATGCATAATACTAGTATCATATATTTAACAAATAACTTAAAAATCCTCATAAAGCATTCTAGAGAGAGAAAAACATCATGTTATAGTAGAAATGTTTTATGTGGGCCCTGGAGAGTTAAGTTTAAGAAACAACTAACAATTGTTTTAGAAAAGAATAAAAAATGGCAAATAAAATATAAAAGTTGAGCACAACAGCTTGGTCAAAGATTTTTAAAAATCCAGGCAATTCTAGGTACTGGAAAGAATATAGGAATATGGAAATGCTTGTTCCCTGCTGGTAAATTGTTATAACTATCTGGAGATCACTTTGAATTTAGCTTGTAAAATTAAAGATGCATGTAAATTAATTCTCTGCAATGAGTATCCTAGGTATAAGCTCTAGAGAAATCACTGCTCGTGTGCATTAATATGCATACAAGTATGTTTTTAGAGATGTCGTTTGTTATGACAGGTAGTAGAACCATACCAAATGTCTGTTGTCAGAAGAATAGATTCATATAATGAGGTGAATTCATAAAGTAGATTACTATGTAACAATGAAAATTAATGGATTGCAGCTGTTTTCTTCATCAAAGATATATCTACAATATAATTTTGGGTTAAAAATATTAGTTGCAATACACTTTCTTGGTACACAGTACTGTGTACATACAGGATTATACAATTATGCAATGTTCCAAATATACAAACCATAATCCTATTTTACTATGATTTCATGCATATATGAAAATTCATAATAAAAGGCAAGGAGTAATGGCTCATAAATGTGTAAAAGAAAATAACTTTGGGGATGTCTTCATAAAGGTTTTTATCATGCTTTATGTAGTAAATTGGATGGTTTTTCCTTAAAAAATGTTGACCTCAGGTAATAATGAAATATGTTTCATTATAGTTAGTATATTTATTTTTATTGCCAACAGTATTGGAGAATATATTTATATAAAAATAAAATAATGTTTTTATAATTTAGAGTTGGCAGGCAATATACTGTATGTAAGAAAGTAAAATGTTAATTTGAAAATTAACTTCAAATAAATTCTAACAAAAATGTTGCTCTATTGTGAATTTGCTGATGGATCTTTCAAAACCTGTTGAGAGACAGTAGCAATACTGGTATTCTTTAAAGACATAAATAAGTATCCCTTAAAGATGTGAAGAAATCTTCAATATTTTTAATTTAGGTATTATTAGAAGAAGGCTTATTGGTTTGTTGTTTTTATTTTTCAGGAAGATAATTTGGAAAAATGAACACATTCATCAACCTGACCTAATTTGTTCATTATCTAATACAAGTGAAACATAAAATATTTACGTAATATTAACTGGATATTCTTTCTATTAAACTACGTACAAGTAAAAATGATGAAGTATTTTTATAGCACACTATGGGAACAATTTACCTAAAACTGGGTTTCAAAATTAAGTTCTGTAATGTTCTGGCAAATCACTTCTTCATAGCCATGGTTCTATATTCACGTTTATGTGTGGAATCGCTGGCAAATTTTAAAACTTTTACAACTTATATCATTACCTGCATATGTAGTTTGGGAAGCACTTTCCCCAATCTCTCCTACGTATGTAAGTTTGTACTTCTAACCTCATCATATCAAACGCCAAAAGCATTCCATTACACTTATAAAATACTTGTCCATTTGAATATTTTTAGTTATGGAGACAAGAAGATCTCAAATTTGTTGGTAAACAATTCTCCATAGTCTCTTGTATTTTTGCATGTCTTGTGAGTAGAGATAGTGCCTGCCTTTGGTCTAGACCATCATTTCAAGGATGTGTTTGGCATGAGCTGCCTTGAAATTAGAGATCGTGTCTCCACTAGAGGCAATAACAGGCTTACTTGTCAAATTAGCTTAATATCTCCTTTGGAGCCAAATTCAGGAAGGCTGACAGCCTGTGACAGTTAATTTTATATGTCAACTCAGCGGTGCCATGGGGTGTCCAGATACAGTCATGCACCATTTAATGATGGAGATACCTTCTGAGAAATGCATTGTTAGGCAATTCCATTGTTGTGTGAACATTATAGAGTATACTCACCAAACCTAGATGGTGCAGCCTACTGCACACCTGGCCTATATGGTATAGCCTATTGCTCCTGGGCTACAAATCTGAACAGCGTGTTACTGCAGTCAATACTGTAGGCAATTGTAACACATTTATAAATATTTGTGTGTCTAAACACAGAAAAGTTCTGGTAAAAATATGGTCTTATAAACTTATGGGACCTCTGTTGGATGTGCAATTCATCCTAGACTGAAACATCGCTATGCTATGCATGACTGTATCTGATTAAACATTATTCTGGGTGTGTCTGTGAGAGTATTTCTGGCTGAGATTAACATTTGAATTGATAGACTGAGTAAAGTAGATTGCCCTCCCTAATGTGGGAACACTTCATCTCATCAGTTGAGGCACTAAATAGAACTAAAATGATGTTTAAGAGGAAAATTATTTAGCTACCTTTGAATTGGGACATCAGCTTTTTCTCTGCCTTTGACTTGAACTGAAACATTGGCTCATCTTGAATATTGATCCTGCCAGTTTTTGGGATAGAACTACACCATTTCTCCTGAATCTCAAGCCTTCCAATTCACCCTGCAGTTCTTGGGATCTGTCAGTTTCCATAATAATGTAAGCAAAGTCCTTACAAAAATTTTTTTCTCTCTGTCTCTCTGAATATATGTAACTATATTCATTCTGTTATCATTTTGTTCTCTTCATATAAGTGGGAGAAACTGAGGAAACTAAATCTCGAGGAACTGGTACAAATACTAATACTCTGGCTACTGCTATTGTAAAGAATGATAAATTCATTTATCTCTGACCCGTGAGTCCCGTGTCTTCTGTCAGCATTCATAATACTGTTATTGTAGGTGGCTCACTCATTAGTTTGCAGGTACAAATAAATCTCAACCCCTTTATGAATCTTGACAAAATTTTATTTATAATATCTATTTCTATAACAATATTAAGAAACATATAAACAGTACCCATTTTCATTTTATGTATATATGTGCAGTGCATCATCACTATTTTACAACCAAGAGTTTTACATTTAAATTTGATAATTTTATTCTACATATTATATTTATAAGGCCTATATTTAAGAGGATGACACAATTTATGTTGATGGAAAAAATGTCCATATGTCTTCATTTTTCACTTGTTAGTAATCCAATTTGAGAAAATTGTATTCTCTTAGCTACTCTCGCTTCTTTTCCCTGTCATTTATTATTATGTTTCACCTCTGTACACAAGGCTATACGGGGCAATGGTGAGTCAGTAAGACCGTACTAGTCACAATTCCTGCTGTCACACTGAGAGCGGGCTGCAGCGGGAAGAAGGCAAAAGAGAAGCAGGGCATCTAACACATGCTACTGTTCTACATAGTTTCATAGCAGTCCTGCAAGAAACAGCCAGGATACTTGTAAATGCTGATTCAATTTTTGAAAATTTAAATACAATTTTTTATTTTAATAAGTATTACTAGAACATTTTTATATTTGCAGAATAATTACAAAAATAGTATAGTTTTCATATATCCATACCCAGTTTTTTATAATATAATTATTTAAATAATTTTAGTAAATTTGTCATAAACAATGAAACAATATTTCTACATCATTATTAACTAAAATCCATATTTTAATCAGAATTTTCACATTTTTCCTAATGTCTTTTTTTGTTGTTATTTTTTCAAGATCACAATCAGGATATTACATCATATCTAGTAGTCGTGTGTCCTCAGTCTCCTCTTGGTTGTGACAGTTTCACAGACTTTTCTTATTTTTGATGACCTTGATGACTGGTAGATTACTGAGAAAGTGTTTTCAATTGAGATCTTTTAAATGTTTCACTCATGTTAGACTTTTGGTAGTAGATTTAATAATGACCACCCAGGCCATGCATGGTGGTCCATGCCTGTAATTCTAGCACTTGAAAGGCTGAGATGGGCACATCACTTGAGTTCAGGAGTTCGAGACCAGCCTGGGCAACATGGCAAAACCCCATCTCTACAAAAATTAGTCAAGCGTAGTGACACTTGCCTGTAGTACAAGATCCTTGGGAGGCTGAAGTGGAAGGATCACCTGAGCCTGGGAGTTGGAGGCTGCAGTGAGTCAGGATTGCACCACTGCACTCTAGCCTGGGTGACAGAGTGAGATGCTGTCTCAAAAAAAAAAAAAAAAAAAAAAAAAAACACCAAAAGATATCAGTTTCCAATGACTGGAACATAAAAATATTACCTTCCTACAAAAAGTTTTTAAAGATATCATTTAGTTAAGAACACTGACATAAGGAGATTATCCTGAATTATTTACTTGGACTTAAATCCAATAACAAATGTTCTTTAGGAGAGATAAGATGGAGACATTATACACATAGAAGACGAGGAGACAGAGGCAGAGATAGGAGTTGTGTAGCCACAAGCAAAGGAATGCTGCAGCCACCAGAAGATGAAAGAGGCAAAAAACAGATTATCTACTAGGTTCCTGAAGAAAGTACTGCCCTATGGACACCTGGATTTCAATCCAGTAAAACTTATTGAAACATCTAGCCTCCATAATTGTAAGAGAATAAGTTCCTCTTATTTTAAAACACTCAATCCTTGGGAATTTAGTAGCCCTGGGAAACTATACACTGCAATAATGTGTTTTCCAGAGGAAGACCACAGAGATAAAGTGGTATTTTCACCACATTATATCAAGGCTACATAATCTTTTTTGTCTCTAACTTTTATTTTAGGTTCAGGGGTATACGTGTACATTTGTTACATAGGTAAATTGCATGTAACGGAGGTTTGGTGTACAGACTATTTTATCACCCAGGCAATAAGCATAGTACCCAATAGGTAGTTTCTTGATCCTCACCCTCTAACACCCTCCACTCAAGTCGACCCAGTGTCTGTTGATCTCTTCTTTGGGTCCGTGTGTACTCAAGGTTAAAATCCCACTTATAAGTGAGAGCATGCAGTATTTGATTTACTGTTTCTGCATTAATTCACTTACGATAATGGCCTCTAGCACCATTTGTATGGCTTCCAAGAACATGATTTCATTATTTTCCTGGCCGTATAGTATTCCATGATGTATATGCTATGACATTTTCTTTAACCATTCCACTGTTGATGGGAATCTAGGTTGATTCCATGTCTTCACTATTGTGACTAGTGCTGTGATGCACATATGCATGCATGTCTTGATGGTAGAACAATTTATGGTCCTTTGGGTATATGATTGCTGGGTCAAATAGTAGTTCTGTTTTAAGTTCTTTGAGAAATCTCCAAAAACTGCTTTCTACAATGGCTAAACTAATTTACATTCCCACCAGCAGTATAAGCATCCCTTATTCCCATAAGCTTGCCATCTGTAATTTTTTGACATTTTAATAATAGTCATTCTGACTAGTATGAGATGGTATCTCGTTGTGGTTTTCATTTGCATTTCTCTGATGACTAGTGATGTTGAACATTGTTTCATGTGCTTGTTGGCCATGTGTATGTCTTCTTTTGAAAAGCGTCTGTTCCTGGCTGGGCATGGTGGCTCATGCCTATAATCCCAGCATTTTGGGAGGCCAAGGCAGGGGGATCACTTGAGGTCAGGAGTTTGAGACCAGCCTGGCTAACATGGCTAAACCCCATCTCTACTACAAATAAAAAACAAACAAAAAAAATTACAAAAAACAAAAGAAGAGCCGAGTGTGGTGGCGTGTGCCTGTAATCCTAGCTACTCAGGAGGCTGAGTCAGGAGAATCGCTTGAACCCGGGAGGCTGAGGTTGCAGTGCAGTGAGTCGATATCAAGCCACTGCACTTCAGCCTGGGTCATGGACTGACTCTGTCTCAAAAAAAAAAAAAAAAAAAAAAAAAAGAAAAGTGTCTGTGCTCTTTGTCCACTTTTTAATGGGATTATTTTTGCTAGTTAATTTATTTAAGTTCCCGTAGATTCTGGATATTACACCTTTGTGAGAGGCATAATTTGAAAATGTTTTCTCCCATCATACAGATTGCCTGTTTACTCTGTTAGTTTCTTTTGATCTGCTGAAACTCTTTAGTTTAATTTGGTCCCTTTTGTCAATTTTTGTTTTTGTAGCAATTGCTTCTGGTATCTTCATCATAAAATTTTTGCTAGGGCCTATGTCTAGAATAATATTTCAAAGATTATCTTCCAGGGTTTTTATAGATTTAGATTTTACTCTTAAGTCTCTAATCCATCTTGTGGTTTTGTTTGTTTTGTTTTTTGTCTATGGTGTAAGGAAAGGATTCAGTTTCAATCTTCTGCATATATTTAGCCAGTTATCCCAACATCATTTACTGAATAGGGATTCTTTTCCCCATTGCTTGTTTTTGTCAATGTTGTAGAAAATCAGATGGTTGTAGGTGTATAACATTATTTCTGGGCTTTCTATTCTATTCCATTGATTTATGTGTCTGTGTTTGCACCAGTACCATGCTGTCTTGGTTACTGTAGCCTTGTGGTATAGTTTGAAGTCAGGTAGCATGATGGCTCCAGCTTTTTTCTTTTTGCTTAGGATTGCCTTGAGTATCCAGGATCTTATTTGGTTTGATACACATTTTAAAATATTTTTTTCCTGATTCTATGAAAAATATCACTGGTAGTTTGAGAGGAAAAACATTGAATCTGCAAATTGCTTTGGGCAGTATGGCCATTTTAACAATGTTGATTATTCCTATCCATGAGCATTAAATATTTTTCCATTTATTTATGTTAGCTCTGATTTCTTTGAGCAACATTTTATAATTCCCATTATAGAGATCTTTCTCCTCCTTAGTTAGTTGTATCCCTAGCTATTTTATTCTTTTTGTGGCTATAGTGAACCAGATTACAGTCTTGATTTTACTTTCAGCTTGGATGTTGTTGGTGTATAGAAATGCTACTAATTTTTGTATATTGATTTATATCCCGAAACTTTGCTGAACTTGTTTATCAAATCTATGAGCTTTTGGGCAGAAACTATTCAGTTTTCTAAGTATGAAATCATATTGTGTAAAAACAGAAACAGTTTGACTTTCTGTCTTCCTATTTTGGATAACTTTTATTTCTTTCTCTTGCCTGATTGCTCTGGCTAGGATTTCCAGTATATATTTTATGGGAGTGGTGAGACTGGGCATCCTTGGATTGTTCCTGTTCTCAAGGGGAATGCTTCCAGCTTTTTCACATTCAGTTTGATGTTGGCTGTGGGTTTGTTATAGATGATTGTTACTATGTTGAGGTATGTTCCTTCAATGCTTAGTTCATTGAGGGTTTTTAATATGAAGGGATGCTAAATTTTATCAAAAGGCTTTTTTTAGTCTATTGAAGTTATCAGGTAGTTTTTGTTTTTAGTTCTATTTGTGTGATGTATCACGTCTATAGACTTATGTGAGTTAAAACAATGTTGAATCTCAGGATAAAGACTACTTAATTTTAGTGGATTAGCTTTTTGATGTGCTGCTGGATTCTGGTTGCAAGTATTTTGTTGAGGATTTTTGCATCAGTGTTCCTCAGAGTTATTGGCCTGGAGTTTTTTTTCTTTTTCTTATGTCTTTGCCAAGTTTTGGTATCAAGGTGATGTTGGCGTCAATGAATGAATTACAGAGGAGTATCTTCTCAATTTTTTGGAATAGTTTCAGTGTGAATGATACTAGCTCTTTATGTTTTGAAGAATTAAGCTATAAACCCATGTGGTCCTGAGCTTTTTCTGGTCCGTAGGCTTGTTATTACTGATTCAATTTCAGAACTTGTTGTTGGTCTATTCAGGGATTCAATTTCCTGCTGGTTCGACCATGGAAGGTTGTACATTTTGAGGAATGTATCCACCTCTTCTAGGTTTTCTAGTTTGTGTACAAAGAGGTGCTCATAGTAGCCTCTGAGAGTGTTTTTATTTCTATGGGGTTGGTGGTAATGTGCCCTTTGTCATTTATGATTGTGTTTATTTGGTTATTCTGTTTTTGTTTTTCTTTTTTTTTTTTTTTTGAGATGGAGTCTCGCTCTGTCTTTTCTTTATTAGTCTAGCTAGTGGTCTATCTATCGTATTAGTCGTTCAAAGAACCAACTACTGTATTCATTGACCTTTCTTATGGTTTTTCTTTCATATCACAATTTCCTTCAGTTCAGTTCTGATTTAGGTTATTTCTTTTCTCCTACTAGCTTTGGGGCTGGGTTGCTCTTGTTTCTCCAGTTTCTCTAGTTTTAATGTTAAGTTGGTAATTTGGGATCTTTCTAACTTTTTTTTTTTTTTTTTGAGAAGGAGTCTCGCTCTGCCGCCCAGGCTGGAGTGCAGTGGCGCGATCTCGGCTCACTGCAAGCTCCGCCTCCCGGGTTCACGCCATTCTCCTGCCTCAGCCTTCCAAGTAGCTGGGACTGCAGGTGCCCGCCAAGACGCCCGGCTAATTTTTTTGTATTTTTAGTAGAGACGGGGTTTCACCATGTTAGCCAGGATGGTCTCGATCTCCTGATGTCGTGATCCGCCCGCCTTAGCCTCCCAAAGTGCTGGGATTACAGGCGTGAGCCACCGCGCCCGGCCGGGATCTTTCTAACTTTTTGATGTGTGTGTTTAGAGTTAAATGTTTCCCTCTAAACACTGCTTTACCTGTGTCCTAGAGATTCTGGTATGTTGTATCTTTGTTCTCATTAGTTTCAGATAACTTCTTGGTTTCTCCCTCAATTTCATTACTTACTGAGAAGTTATTCAGGGGCAGGTTGTTTGATTTCCATGCAATGCAATGGTTTTGAGCAATTTTCTTAGTATTGATTTCTATTTTTATTGCACTGTGGTCTGAGAGTTTGTTTGGTATTATTTTAGTTTTTTTTAATTTTTAGAGAATTGTTTTATGTTTGATTGTGTGGTGGACTTTAGAGTATTTTCTATATGGGAAAAAAGAAGAATGTATGTAATGTGTTGGTTTTGAATAGAGAGTTCTGTAGATGTCTCCTAAGTCCATTTGGTCAAATATCAAGTTTAGGTCCCAGCTATCTTTGTTAGCTTTCTGCCTATATGATCTGTTTAATATTGTCAGTGTGGTGGTGAAGTCTCCCACTATTATTATGCAGTTATATAAGTCTCTTCATAGGTCTCTAAGAACTTACTTTATGAATCTGGGTGATCCTGTGTTGGGTGAATATATATTTAGGATATTTAGATCTTATTGTTCAGTTGAACACTTCACTTTTATGTAATGCTCCTCTTTTTGTCTTTTTTGATTATGGCTAAAAGTCTGTTTTTTCTAAAATTAGAATATCAACTTCTGCTCTTTTCTGTTTTCCGTTTGGTTGGCAGATTTTTCTTCATCCCTTTACTTTGAGCCTATGGGTATCATTGCATGTGAAATGGATCTCTTGAGTCTTGCTTCTTTATCCAATATGCTACTCTGTGCCTTTTAATTGAAGCATATATCCCATTTACATTCAAGGTTAATATTAACATATACAGATTTGATCTTGTCATTATGTTGTTAGCTGGTTTTTGTGCAGACTTGATTGTGGGGTTGCTTTATAGTGGCAATGCTCTATGTATGTAAACGCATTTTTGTGGTGGTCAATAATGGTCTTTCCTTTCCATACTTAGCACTTCCTTAAGGACCTCTTGTAAGACAGGTTGAATGGTAATGAATTATTTCAAAATTTACCTGTCTGAAAAGGATTATATTTCTTCTTTGATTATTAAGCTTGTGTGGCTGGATATGAAATTCTTGGGTGGAATTTATTTTTTTAATAAGCTAAATATAGGGTCTCAATCTCTTCTGGCTTGTAGGGTTTCTGCTGAAAGTTCTGCTGTTAGCCTAGAGGGGTTCCTTTTGAAAGTGACCTGCCTCTTTTCTCTAGCTTCACAGAACATTTTTTTTTTATTTCAAATGTGAAAAATTTGATGCCAATGTGTCTTGGGTATGGCCATCTTGAATGGCATCTCTCAGGTGTTGTCTGCATTTCCTAAATTTGAATGTTGGCCTCTCTAGCAAGGTTAGGGAAATTTTCATGGACAATTTCCTAAAAGTCTTTTTTCCAAGTTGCTTGCTTTCTCTCTCTTTCAGAGATGCCAATGTCATAGATTTGGGTCTCTTTACATAATTCCATATTTCTTGAAGGTTTTTCTTTCTTCTTCATTGTTTTTTTCTTTATTTTGGTCTGAGTTATTTTGGACAACCGGTCTTCTAGCTCTGAAGTTCCTCAGCTTGGTCAATTCTGCTGTTAATGTTTGCAATTGTGTTATGCAATTCTTGAAGTAAGTTTGTAAGCAGTATCAGATCAGTTTGGTTCTTTCTGAAAAATGGCCATTTTCTCTTTCATCTCCTGATCATTTTATTATATTCTTAGAGTCTTTGGATTGAGTTTAGACTTCATCCTGATTCTTGATGAGCTTTGTTTCTGTTTATATTATGAATTCTATTTCTGTTGCTTCATTCATTTTAATTGCTAAGGACCATTGCTGAGGAACTAGTGTCATTGCCTGGAGGTGAGAAGACAGTCTGGCTTTGCAAGTTTTCAGAGTTCTTGTACTGTTTCTTTCTCATCTTTGTGGCCTGGTGTTCCTTCAGTCTTTTATGTTGTCCTTTGAGTGTGTGTTTTTTTTTTTCTTTTATCTTCTTTGGTGCACTTGGAGGTTTGATTGTGGTATATGGTGGGTTCAGTTGACTGGCCCCATTTCTGAAAGATTTTAGGGGGCCAAGATTCAGCACAGCACTCCTGGAATATGTACTCTAACTCTTGGGGATTGGCACGGAGTCCCAGCTTTGTTATCTGGCCCCTTGAATTTAAAAACATGCTGCACTGGAAGATCCAAGGTGTTTCCAATCTGCTGGCCACAGCAGTCTGATGGGTGGTGATGGTTAAAGGGTTTTGTCACCCAGTGGCAGTGGGATCTGTTCTCTCTTGTGCATGCCAGCAGCCACAGCAGTGCAGCAATTGTGCATGTGTGTTGACTGGGTGGGTGGTTACCTGGGAAGCAGAGCTGCAGTGTTCCCGTGTGCTTGCACTGGTGGTGTGGTGGGGGCACGGTGCAGGTGAGGACAGGGTTGTCAGTGTCTGTGCACACTTTGCTGCAGCTGCATGTCAGCACAAGTGAGGCAGAATTTTTAGGGTTTGTTCCCTGTTGGTACCAGCTATGGCAGCATTGCTGGGTCCCCACATGTCATGGAGTAGGGGCTCTTTGGGATGTGATCATCTTGTAGTGGCAGGAGTTGTGCAGAGTGGCGCTTGTGTGCCCACTGGTGAGAGGAAGCTAATTGCATGTGTGTGTATGCAGGCATGGGTAATATCAGTGGGTGATGGCCTTGGGCGAGTGTGTGCCAGCAACATGGTGTGGGGGAGGTTGTTGTGGAGGGAGAGTGTGGGTGGCCTGGTGAACTTTGGCAGGGGCCACTCTGTTGGAGCTTTCCAATGGTCAAGCGTGGTTTACCAGCCAACGAGTTATGATGAGGGCCACCAAGAAACACCCTGGTTAGATGTCCTAGGATGCACTGCACATGGAAGCAGCTAGGCTGAGGCCCCAGGAGAGGACAGCAGATGGGGGTGTCCTCAGATCAGACTGGCCCCATCCCATGGGCAAGACCTCTACTGCCCTGTTCAGGTTCAACAGTCATTCCAAAGCTAAACCTTCCTAGAGGAGCATGATAAGCCTTGGGGGGGATGGGTGTCCTTGCCTGTGCTCCATAGCAGACACTCCTGCACCAAACACTCTGGGCTCCACAAAGGGTGGGGTCCTACCCCTACCACCTAGACAAACAGTTCTTTGTAGCAGCTCAGGTGTCTGTTGGGATTGTAGAGTCCCCTGATGCCAGGATCCTGGAAGGCTGTGACAAGAGTGAGTCACTCCTTGCCTGTTCAATTCACCCCTTCGTCAGGAATCTCTGGGAGCCAGGAACAAGTCCTGATGCTTGGTAGCCCCATGCAGGGTTCCCAGCTTCCTTCCTCTCTAGATCAGCGACGGTGTCCTCTGTCCATCTTACATGAGTATGTCTAGAGTGTACTAGTCTTCCCAGTGTCCTGGTCTCCTTTGGACAGCTATTTGTCCTTGCTGCATCTAGTCAGCCATCTTGGCTCCTGGTTTCTCAGGGATCAACACTTTTCATATGACATCACTTTGATGTGAAACTTATCTTTGGCTTGAGGTAGTATTTTTCATTTTTCCCCAATGTGAAATTGCTTTTGTGTTTTTCTTCCCTTTCTGTGTTGTATTCGCTGGAAGAAAAGCACTGTGCACAGCCCACTTAAATAGTGGGGAGTTATTCTCTACCTCCTTGCCACGGGAGTGTTTTCATAAATTATTTGGAATTTTACATAGTATATTTGATTATTTTCCCATCAATTTTTTATTCAATCATTTATTAATGTTGGAATGATTCTGTTAATATTTGTTTTACATTTTAGGTTTTAAGCCGAGCTACTTTATTTATGTTGTTCAGAATGCTTGGCCATTGGTGGTGGTGGTCAGGGGTGTCTTTCAGATGTCTTTTATACCATTTTTTATTTTATTTTTAAGAGACAGTGTCTGCTGCTCTGTTGCCAGAGCTGGATCACATTGGCACCATCACGGCTCACTGCAGCCTCGACCTCTGGGCTCAAGTGAATCTCCCGCTGCAGCCTCCCGAATAGCTGAAACTACAGACACATGCCACCATACCCAGGTAATTTGTATATCTTTTGTTGAGATGGGGACTTTCTATGTTGCCCAGGTTTGTCTTGAACTCTTGGCCTCAAACAAACCTCTCATCTCAGCTTTCCAAAGTGCTCAGTATCCTTTTGACATATCATAATCTTCTCCACCCCCACCAGCATCGGGTAATTATTGATGGTACACTATGATCTATGCTTATCTTGTATATTTCCTGACTCAAACCTGGTATCAATCATTTCACCAAGGAGCTCTGGGTCTTTTTGTCATAGAATAGTGTTAGAAATCAAAATGTGGGTCACTATGTGTGCTAGTTGCCATTGGCTTCAACTCTACTTTTAACTTATTTGAGTAATTATAGAAAAGTGAGTTTCTTGTAACAGCACAATTGGGTCTTTTTGTTTTTTGGTCCACTCTTACAATCTTTTTATCTTGATTGGTATATTTTGATCATTCACAATATTGATGAAATTGGATTAATAGATCTATTTTTGTAACTGTTGTCTATTTGTGGCATTTGTTCTTTGTTATTTTTCTTTTCCTGACTTGAATAATTTCAGTTGAGCATCTTATGTGATTCTATTTTATCTTCTTTCTTAGTAGATCACATATACCTATTTATTTTTTAATTTTTTAGTGGCTACCCTACAGTTGATGGTATAGATTTGTAATCCGTATAAGTCTACTTTCAAATAAAACTACCATTTCACATATAGTGCAGGGACACTATGACACAGTGTTTCTAATTCTTGCCTCCCATCCTTTTGACATTGTACCTTTCATTTTACTTATTCACATTATATGCTTACATAATACATTGTTATTATCACTGCTTTAAGCAAACGTTATTTTTTAGTGGTTAATGGGTCGGTTAATTAATATTTTAAAAAACATTTATTTTACCTGTATTTATTCCTTCTCTGACAATTTTTATTTCTTTGTACATAATTAGTAGCCTGACTTATGTTAGTTTAGAAAATGCAAGAAAAAAGCAAACAATGATGGAAAAGATATTGTGGTAAAATGAATTCTATCACTCTAAGTAATACTGTTATTTGCTTTTTCTTGTTTGTGTATGTGTGTGTGTGCAAAGTATAACAATATTTACATAGAGATAAAGAAAGTAATAATACTCTATATATGCAGCATTCAAAATTTCTGCCCTTAGGAAGCTAACATGATTGGTGAAAGTTCAGAAGAAAATGTAATTTGCTTTGTCAATATTGAATCAGAAAACATTTATTCAGTACCAGCAATATTACTGGTGCTGTCCTGGGGAGTGAGGGTGCAGTTCTTAACACATTCTATCTTTATTTAAGCTTACGACCTCTATACTACTATCTCAAAAATACACAGAGAATAAGTAGAAATGAAAATCAAAACAGGATATTACCACATATATATTCAAAAAATTCAGACTTTTTAATGCAAATTTTTAAATGCTTTTATTAAACAGATCATTTTAGGTCAAAGCAGAAATTCAAACTGTAAGTGTTATATTTCTCTAAGCCAGGGATAATGAAAACACAGTGTATTTAGACAAAATTCATTCAGAAAAAAACCTGTAGCTTGAAATCTTAGATCAATATAAAGCAAAATGTAAAAAATGATTTTAAAATTTCATAATTTCAATAACAAACAGAAAAAACAAACCAAAGAAAAGACAAAAGATTTAATGAAGAATGAGGAAGAAATTAAAGACCTAGAAAAAAGTAAAGTGAATACATTATAAAGCTTGTCCTTTGAAAATTCTGCAAAATAGTTCTATCACAAGCTAATCTAGGCAGCCTTAAAGGGGAAGGGTATACAAACACACACATCATTCATAAAAATGAGAAGAGAAAATTAATCAAGAAAATAGAGGAAATTAAAAAAATTATCAGATATTTTGCACAGCTATATGCAAAAAATAGATAATTTTTAGAAAAATATAAATTTTATAATATTGAACAAGAGACAAAATGTATATGGGAAAAATATCTAGAATAAATAAAAAATATTTTTCAAATACTACTATCCTTAGAACAGGCTTCCTTCTCCATGTGCCTGGCTCATTTATATTTACTAGATTATAATATACACTATCAAAGTGTAAGAGAAGATTTTATCAGTGCTATTAAGAATTCCAGATCTTGTTGAAAGACATAGACAGAGAAAGATAAATATTTAAAAGCTTTATAAGAAGTGAATGTGCTATTTATACAAACTCTGTTAACTGGTTCTTAAAAATCTGTAAGTACATCTCACTTACATGTAGATGAAACAATACAGCATGATATTAAAGTGGGATTTAGTCTGGGAACAAAAGGATAACTCAACATTTGAAAATGTTTTAATATAATTTATCACAATAAGAGATCCCAGGAGGAAAAAAAATCACATAAATATTACCTAATATACTGAAAATTCACTTGGCAATATCCAAAACTGTTGAGTCATAACTATTACATCAATATAAGTTAATGAAAATTCTTTTAAATCATTATTTCATATATCTATATCTGTAACATATATATGTATATGCATGTATACCCAAATATATATGTATATCTCAAAATCAAGTTTTCTTATCAATAAAGGATTATTTGAGATAGGCTTTCAAAAGTAATGTATTCATGACTATAATGGAAGTGTTAGAGAATGCAATAAACAACTTATAGATATTAAAGTTGCAATTATAGAATTAGAAAAACATAAAATTAGATCTCTTTTAGATCATATGAAAATAAAAGTGGAAGTTCTATAAGATCAAATTAAAATGACAAGAAATGTTTTATTAGTGAGATATAAAACAAATATAACAGCATCAATAAACTATATAAATATGTTATTTTCACATATATGATTTTTATATATCATATATACATATATAGATAAAATATAAACAATAGATTTTACATATAAATATGAATAGACTTTACAAACGTGTGAGTGCACATACATGCACAGATATACACATGCATGCAAGCAAGAAGAACTGGCTTTAAAGTATAAAGGAGATCTATGTTACATCATCAATATTAACAAGAACAAGTAAAAACTACAAAATATATGTAAAATGTATATAAAGAAATGGTCTATAACATAATTTAAAATTAGTCAAATATAAATGAATGAATTAAATTTTAATTTAATTTAATTTAATTTATTTCATGAATTTAATTTGAATTCATTCATTTAAATTAATTTAATTTAAATTAAATCTAATTTAATTAATCTCTGTTTTTGTAAGTAGACAAGCTGACACCGACACATGCAGAAGTGAACAAGGAAAACTTTCTAGAAATTTTCTAGCACAAAAAAAATGTTAAGTGGTTGGTGGGAAGTATTAGAACTTCAATAATTAAAACATGGTATAATTTACCAATATTTAAGCCATTATGATATTGAAACATGAACAGAGTACATGTCTATTTCATATAATACAATTAATACATATATTTTTAAATGTATATATTCATAAATAGACAATTTATATAAGACAAAGAAAGCATTTAAAATCAGTGAGTTTATAAAATGACTTCCTAGTAAAAGATATTGAGATAACTGGAAGGTAATTTAGATTCAGAATTTTTCTTTCTACATTATAAGATAAATGTCAAATAGTTAAGAACTTACTTGTAAAACATTAAACCATAAAGTATAAAAAGTATTGCAACATTTTTACAATAATGAAATATGTAATATCTGTTTCAATGTAGAAGCTGTTAAAAACATCACAAGCAAAAAAGAGATAGGTAAAAATAACAAACTAGAAAAATATTTGCAATTCATACTACAAATAAAGGAGAATATTCCCACATTGCACAGAACACCTACAATTCAGAAGAAAATGACCAACATGCTGATTTAAAAATAATGGGCTGAAGGCACAGGAAAGCAGAAAAAGTAGCAACAGCATTGATATATATGAAAAAGTGGTCAAGTTGCCTCATGGTAAGATAAATGCAAGTAAAACCCAGCAATTCACACCTGTAACAATCTAGGGAGACAGCATTTTAATGCGTTCATTGTGTGGGTAGAAAATAGAACAGCATTTATTGAGGAATATCTGGCAGTACCTGACAAAATTATGAATTTTGGAATTCTATTTCAGAAATACAGCAGTATAAATATAGAATAAATCTTATGCAGGCACAATTATTGTAGAAGTGTTTATGATAGAAAAATGCAATAAAGATTCCATGTGCTCATTAATAGAAAATGGGTTATAGTCCTCTAAAAGAAAAAAAAGGCAGAAAAAAATGAATATAAGAATTTATTTTTACTAGGAAAAACTCACCAGGATATGTTGATAAACTGAAAGATCAGCTTCTAAATATTATATATAGTGTTCTCCTTTATTCCAAAAGGTATACAGATAAAAATATAATTTCATTTGCTTAAAATATTTGAGAAAAATAAAGAAAATAATAAATAACATACACATGACAGTGATTTGGCAGAGACAGGAAGAGGGAAAGTCAAGGACATAACTTCTCTGCTTATGCTGCTTTTTATATTACAATGTAAATTGTGCTTATGTTCGAGAAAGCGTATTTTGCATTTTAGAAAAATACTCCAAATAAACAGATGGTCCAACAATGAGAGAGATATTTATGGGAATCTAGTATGATTCAGGTAATGCTTTAAAGGCTTAGGACATGGTGATGAATAATGGGGAGAAAAAAATTGGGTCCTTTGGAACCAGGGCATTATTATAACTCATTTATGGTCTCCCCATGCTACCAGAAATTTTTCTATCAATATTCTTTAATCTTTTTTCTAGAATTGGTAAAGAAAAAAGAAGTAAAAGAACCACCTTAAAGCTAGTTACTCAATCTGACAAAATGTTTTGGGGTGCTGAATTTAGTAATTATCTATATGGGTTATTTAATGTAATTTTTTGCTAATCTAGATAAAACAAAGATTGCTATATTTGCTCTTTATTCAATAATGTTCTCTTTTCCCCTGGTTATTTCTCAGCTTTGGAAATTTGCATTGATAAGAATCAGAATGCTTTCTCAGTGACACATTATGCACCTGACAAAATTCAATGGAGGGTGATGATTCTTAATTTTAATGACAGGCTTTCTACTTTCCATGGACTACGCATAAATCTTTAATTAAGAGTTATGAGGCAACACAGGGAGCACAACAAATCCTCCATTTGGTTTGTGAAATTTAAACTGAGTAAAAAATCTGCTAGTAAAAGAGATGCTCCAAAGAGATAATATAAATATATACTTTAAGTAGGTATAAAAATAGAAATAATGATACAAATTATAAACTGATCAGTATTTAAATATGTTTGTTTTATTAAATACAGATGACAATCTCAGTCTTTAATAAATTTTAAAAAATTAATGCACTTACTCAAAATATTAATAGCATAGCCTTAAAAAAATTAAGGAAACATGATTCCTAACTTCAGCTAGATTTCGGACAACTGGAATGTGATTATGCACATTGTTCTTTACTTGCAACCCTTAAATGAGTCCTTAAGATATGAGAAACATACAATCGTCTTCTTAGCCTCAAGAAATAATTTTCTTCTTCATAACATTTTTCAATCAGAAAGGTATATGTGTGTAGAGAGGTTGATGTGGTATTTTTTTGTAAATAAACAAGCTGGCCAGAGGAAAAAACAATAGATGTGGCAAAGAAGAGTCAAAGATTTGTTGTTTTAACTTACCATCTTTCATAATCTACATGTCAAATAACATGGACCCAGGACATATGCTTGTTTCACATGACATATGCTTGTTCATTGGGGGGATTTTTAGTAACGGATTATTCAACATGTTAATAGGGCCCAACACATTAGCCTTACATACAAGATATATTATAACACATAAGTAAGCTGTATTAGTCTGTTCTTGCATTGCTATAAAGAACTACTTGAGATGGGGCAATTTATAAAGAAAAGAAGTTTAATTGACTCACAGTTCAAGGCACGTTTTACATGGCTGAAGCAGGAGGAAGAGGCAAAAGGTAAAGTGTTACAGACTTTCAAACAACCAGATCTCAGGAGAACTCACTCACTATTATGAGAACAGCAAGGGAGAAATCCATCCCCATAATCCAATCACCTCCCAGAAGGCTTCTCCTCCAACACTGGGGAATAAAACTTGACATGAGATTTGAGTGGGAAACAAATCTAAACCATATCATCCTGACCCTAGCCCCTCTCAAATCTCACGTCCTTCTCACATTGCAAAATACATTTATCCCTTCTGAACAGTCCTCCAAGTCTTATCCCAGTTCAGCATTAACTCAAAACTCCACAATCCAGAATCTCATCTGAAGCAAGGAAAGTTTCTTCCACCTATGAGCCTGTAAAATCAATAACAAATTACTTCCTTCCAAGATACAATGGGGTTACAAGCATTGGGTAAATACACCCATTCCAAAGGAGAGAAATCAGCCAAACAAAATGGATACAGGCTCCATGCAAGTCTGAAAACTAGCAGAGCAGTAATTAAATCTTAAAACTCCAAAATGATCTCCTTTGACTCCATGTTTCACACCCGGCCACAGTGATATAAGGGTGAGATTCCAAACCTTGGGCAGCTCTGCCCCTTGGGCTCTGCAGGGTATAGCTTCCTCAGCTGCTTTTACGGGCTGACATTGACTGCCTGTGGCTTTCCCAGGCACATTATGCAAGCTGATGATGAATCTACCATTCTGGGATCTGGCAGATGGTGGCCTACTTCTGACAGCTCCACTAGTCAGTGCCGCATTGGGGATTCTGTGTGGTGGCTCCATCCCCACAATTCCCCTCTGAACTGCTGAAGTAGGTTCTTAATGAAGGCTCTACCCCTGCAGTAGACTTCTGCCTGGACATCCAGGCATTTCCATACATCTTCTGAAACCTAAGCAGAGGCTCCCAAGCTTCAACTCTTTCCCTCTCTGCACCTATAGGCTTAGCACCACCTGGAAGCCACCAAGGCTTATTGTTTACATCTTCTGGAGCTTCAGGCTGAGATGTATCTGGGGCCTTTTAGTAATGACTAAAGTTGGAGTGCCTGGGCTGTAGGGCACATGTTCTGGGGCTTCACAGAACAGTGGGACCCTGGACCCATGAAATCTTTCCTCCTTCCTAGGCCTCCAGGCCTCTAATGGGAGGAGCTGCCATGAAGGTCTCTAAAATGCCCGTTTTCTCCATTATCTTTGTTATCAACATTTGGCTACTTTTTACTTACACAGATTTCAGCATCTGGCTTGAATTCTTCTGCAGAAATTTATTTTTTTTCCTACCACTTTGCCAGACTGCACATATTCCAAACTTTGCACTCTGTGTTGAGGTATGTTTATTCTATAACTAATTTATTGAGAGTTTTTTTCATGAATAGGTCTTGCACTTTATCAAATGCTCTTCATGCTTCTATTGAGATGATCTTATGGCATTTGTCCTTTATTCTTTTGACATGGTGTATCATATTTATTTATTTGTGTATATTGAAGAATCCTTGCATCCCTAGAATAAATTATCTTGATCCTGGTGTATTGTCTTGTTGATGTGCTGTTGAATTTTGTTTACTAGTATCTTGTTAAGGATGTTTACTTCTATGTTAATCATGGATATTAGCCTTTAGCTTTTGTTGTTTTTGTGTCCTTGTTTAGTTTTGGTATCAGGATAATGCTGGCCTCATGGGATGAATTAGGAAGAATTCCCTCCTCTTCAATATTTTTGAATAGTTTGAGGATTGGTGTTAGTTCTTTAAAAGTTTGATAGAATTCAGAAGTAAAGCCATCAGGTCCTGGGCTTTTTTTTGTTGGGAGACTTTTTATTACTGACACAAACTTGTTACAACTTATTCATCTATTCAGGTTTGTTATTTCTTCTTGGTTCATTTTTGGCAGGTTGAATGTGTGTAGAAACTTACCCATTTTCTTCAGGCTTTTCGATTTGTTGGCATATGGTTGTTTATAACCAAGTGTACAGTTTCTGACATTCATAAGCTGTGGTTATGCATATTATACTGCCAGTCAAAACACTACTTGTAATACAACTGAGAATAAAATTTATATGTACCCGTATGGTCTATCTCCCACTTGCATTTTTATCTTCATCTTTTTTTACATTTTCCATGACATTGGTGCCATGTGAAATACATTCACCTTCTCTCCCTCTTCCCATCAGACTGATTTTACCCTGTAGGCTAGTGTATTGTCATCTTTCAGACCCTGGTTCTAATGTTGCTTCCTGTACCCTTTATCCTGCCCCACTAGCACAGGATCCTTCAGTTATGAACTTTTAGCACAATACACATTCTTCCTTCATAGAATTTAACATAAATTTATTTGGGTAACAGTTTGATTGAGAATGTAGTATTAAGTAAAATACAAGCACTATAAGTAAAAGAGAAACCGTAACTTAGTTGCCCGTTTTATATCCAAACCAAAACCAGTGCCTGGTACATAGTTGCCTTCAGTAAATATTTGGGAAATATATGGCTGAATTCTTGACAAGCTTTAAATAAATAAATGGTCCCTGTCTTCCTCTATGTGCAACTATGTACTAAAAGACTTACTATGCAAGTGTTTAAAATAAATAATGCTTATGTATGTCTTTTAAAATTTGTTTTGAAGAAACATCATCTTAGTGAATAGCTATGATGGAAAATGTGAATTATACTTGATTACACCTTCCTCTTCAAATTCCATACCTAATTGGTCTCCAAGTTCTTTTGATTCTTCTATCTTACATCTTTTGATGTGACCCTCCAAACTCACCCGTAATTATTCATCCTTTGGTGGCTTCATTCATGCCTTAGTTAGGGCAGTGATAATTTTATTTCCTGAAGGTACTCAAGATGCCCCCCAGTATACCATTTGCAATTTCAACTTTTTAATATTTAGGTCTGAGAGTATAATTTTCTCCTCCTTTTTAGAAGAAAATTCCAGCTTTGGCTGGCAGGAAGGTTTCGAAGCTGATGACCAAAAGGATATTTAATCATGTCTTCATATGCTCTTTGGTCGCCTGAGTATACGACAGGGAAAGAGATAAAAAAAAGAACGGTCTTGAATCTCCCTTCTGTGTATTGTCTATTCTTTATTTCAAGTGGAACCTGATAAGGTCATTAGTGTGGCTTTGTTTTTGCAGGAGGATTAATCCTTCTAGGACACACACTAATTGGTCATAAGGAAAAGCAGATATTCTAGTTATCTCATTGATGTTTTTCATGGTGAGTTGTAGGAGAAATAAACCAGAAGTTTACTGATATAAAACAAAGTTACATAAAAGCAGTATGTGGGCCAGGCATAGTGGTTCACGCCTGTAATCCCAGCACTTTGGGAAGCCAAGGTAGGCGGATCACGAGGTCAGGAGATTGAGACCATCCTGGCCAACATGGTGAAACCTCGTCTGTACTAAAAATACACAAATTAGCTGAGTGTGGTAGTGTGTGCCTGTAATCCCAGCTACTCGGGAGGCTGAGGCAGGAGAATCACTTGAACCCAGGAGGCAGAGATTGCAGTGAGCCGAGATTGTGCCACTGGACTCCAGCCTGGCAACTGAGTGAGACTCCATCTAAAAAAAAAAAAAAAAAAAAAAAGCAATATGCAAAGTAAGTTTGCCACACTGTTATTGATTGCACAAATTGCACACATTTCTTTAAAGTTCAGCAAGACATTTTCAAACATTATTGAAATTTGAGTTAAAGCTTTTGAATCTTTAGAACTTGAATCTCACATATAAGGTAATAGCAGTTTTGTTTAACACGTTAAAAAGCATGGTTACTATTCATTTGGAAAAATAAAGATAAAATTAGCAAACTAAAAAGTACAAATACCAATTTATTGAAGTATGTCTTTTCATCTACTAAATTGTGCATTAAGAAATAAGATAATTTATCCTTTATTTTTCATCTCCCCAATGGTCCTTAAAATAATGCTTTATTAATGCAGGTTTTTACAAAATTGGCATACGGTTTGCACTTAAAGAGACTGATATGAAACCACTATCCTCTAACACTTTATAAAATCCTGGAGAAAGTATGGATTTTCATTTGCTTCAGGTTTTATTCATCTTAAACTTACAACTAACTCTTTTAAAGTATGGTCTATAATTGTAGCTGTATAGATTCCCCCACTGACATGGCAAGAGATAAAAATGTTTATTTTTTTTTAACAAAGAAACACACACATACATACTTGAAGCAATGAAAGATAACACATTTCTCTTATGCTTGTGATATGGTTTGGATTGGTGTCCCTGCCCAAATCTCATGTCGTATTGTAATCCCGTATGTTGAAGGAGGGATCTGTTGGCAGGTAATTACATCATGGTGGTAAATTCTCTCTTGCTGTCCTTGTGATAATAAGTTCCCATTAGATCTGGTTGTTTAAAAATGGGTAGAACTTGTGCCTTCACCCTCTTCCTCCTGCTCCAGCCATGTAAGACGTGCCTCCTTCCTCTTTGCCTTTCACCGTGATTGTAAATTTCCTGAGGCCTCCCAAGCCATGCTTTCTGGACAGCCTGCAGAACCATGAGCCAATTAAACCTCTTTTCTTTATAAATTACCCACAAAGACACAAACTTCATGGCTCAACCAAAAAATCACTCAAGATAATCTATAGACTTAAATTTCCAAATATAAAATTGTAGAAGTTATAGAAGAAAACCTACATGGATTTGGGTTGGTGATAAATTTTTAGATACAATAGCAAAAGCAAGTCCATCAAAGAAAAAAAATTGATGATGTGGACTTTATTAAAATTTGAAATGTCTACTCTGAAACATCCTGCTACGAGAATGAAAAACCAAGCCACAGACTGAGAGAAAATATTTATAAAACAAACCTGAAAGGGATTTATATGCAAAATATACAAAGAAATTCTAATGCTCAGCAAGAAGACAACACAATTAAAAGGTAGACACCTCACTAAAAAAGATAAGACAACAAACAAGCATCCAAAAGAATGCTCATGGCACTTGTCATAGGGAAAAGCAAATTA
This sequence comes from Homo sapiens, assembly GCF_000001405.40. Lineage (NCBI taxonomy): Eukaryota > Metazoa > Chordata > Mammalia > Primates > Hominidae > Homo > Homo sapiens. The sequence continues at coordinate 23,504,544 of NC_000005.10, forward strand.
ATGCAACAATGGTATACCACTGAGCATCTACTAATGTGACTAAAACCTTTTTTTAATGTAATAAAAATTACAACAGGAGGCTGGGAACAGTGGCTCATGCCTGTAATCCCATCACTTTGGGAAGCAAAGTCGGGAGGATCACTTGAAACCAGTTCAAGACCAGCCTGGGCAACATGTGAGACCCCCATCTTTACCAAAAATTTAAAAATAAAATAAAATTAACCAGCCCTGGTGGCACACACCTGTAATCCCAGCTGAGATGGGAGAATTGCTTGAGCCTGGAAGGTAGAGGCAGCAGTGAGCAGTGTTCGCACCACTGCACTCAGCCTGGGCTACAGAGCAAGACTCTCTCTCAAAAAAACAATTAAATAAATAAAATTAAAATAAGTTGCAACAGGAACTCTCGTTCAATGCTAGTGGAATGCATAATGATACAGCAACTTCAGAAAACAATATGGCAGTTTTTATTAAAGTTAAACATACTCTCACCATAGAGGCACTCCTAGGTTTTGGGGGTTTTTTTGTTTGGTTTTGTTTTTTGTTTTGTTTTGTTTTGTTTTGAGATGGAGTCTCACTCTGTCACCCAGGCTGGAGTACAGTGGTGCAATCTTGGCTCACTGCAGCCTCCATCTCCCGGGTTCAACCAACTCTCCTGCCTCAGCCTCCCAAGTAGCTGGGACTACAGGCAAGTGCCTCCACACCCAGCTAATTTTTTAATTTTTTGTAGTCGGGATCTCCCTATGTTGCCCAGGCTAGTCTTGAACTCCTGGGCTCAAGTGACCCTCCCACCTCAGCCTCCCATGTAGCTTGGACTTAAGGCAGGGACCACAACACCCAGCTAATTAAAAAAACATAATTTGGTAGAGATGGGCCTCAATATGTTGCCCAGGCTAATCTGAAACTCCTGGCCTCAAAGAGTCCTCCCTCTTTGGCCTCCCAAAGTGTTGGGATTACAGGTATAAGCCACTGCATCCCACCTTTGATTTTTTAATCAAGTTATTTTTTGTTGTTGAGCTTTAAGACTTTTTTTTATAAGTTTCTGGATATTAACTCCTTATCAGTTATATGATTTGCAAATGTTTTCTCCCGTTCTATATAGGTTGCTTTGTCACTGTTGATTGTTTCCTTTGCTACACAGACGTTTTTAGGTTTGACGTACTCCCATCTATCTAATTTTGCTTTGGTTGCTTATGCTTTTGGTGTCATATCCAGGAAGTAATTGCTCATTCCAATGTTATAAAGATTTTATTTTTTTTCTTCTTGGAGTTCTGTACTTTTAGGTGTTAGATTTCAGTCTTTAATTTATTTTGAGTTAATGATAACAGATAATGCATCATACGGTAGCATTCCATATAATGGAATGATATGGTTTGGATTTGTGTCCCTGTCCAAATCTTATGTTGAAATGTAATCGCCAGTGTTGGAGGTGGGGCCTGGTGGGAGGCCTGTGAAGTTTGTCACAGGACAAACTTCTTATGAATGGTTTAGCACCATCCCTCTTTGGAACTGTATAGTGAGATCTGGTTGTTTAAAAGTGTATAGCACCTCCCCGCCTTTCTCTCTTCCTCCTGCTCTGGCCACGTGAAGTGCTGACTCCCCTTTCACCTTCTGCCATGAGTGTAAGTCTCCCAAGAAGCCAAGCAGGTGCCAGCATCATGCTTCCTGTACAGCCTGCCGAACAATAAGCCAATTAAATCTATTTTCATTAGAAATTACAGTCTTAGGTATTTCTTTATAGCAGTGCGAGAACGGACTAATAGAGATGCCAATCCCCCAGGCTCCGTATCTCCTTGCAGGAGACTCTGGCATTAGCTGACCTCTGACCCAGGAGACAGCAGGGGCAGCTTCCCTGTGGGACTTGGGTGCCTCTGTTCTGAAAGTCCTCCTGCCCACTGGCCCCTCCCAGGGCCCATGCCTAGCCACTCTGCAAGAGCAGGTGCACACACAGTGCAGCCTCTGCAGCCCAGCCTGAGTGCATCGCTCCACCTGAGTACCTTACCCGTGACCCAGGAGTACATTGGATTCCCCAGCACAGCGAGAGCCCAACCTCAAGCCATACTTCTTGGTGTCCCCAGGGCTGTGGCACGTAGCTAGGGATACCGGGGGCGGGGGGGAGATCTGTGGCTAGCACTTGAACGGGGGAGGAGCCCCCACTCTCAGAGCACTGAGAGAGGTGAGACATTTGGGACACTGGGCAGCGAGGGAGCGAGGCATGCCTCCCTCCAGAGGGCCAGTCCAGAAAAGGGGCGACCTATGCAGCCTCTGCCCGAGGGAGCCCCGCAGCCCAGAACACCTAACAAAAGCAACGCAGGCAGCCACCAGTGATTACAGGAGGCTCCCCCAAGACCTAGGAGCTGGTAAAGGGCTATTGCTCTCCCGTCTCACCGCAAAGCACGCCTGCGAACGCAAAGTACAAAAGAGCCTTGCTACCGGAGATAGCAGCCGTGCCTCTTAAGCACCATCTATTGGATCACGGCCCTAACTACAACACCAAAATTGGCCAGCTAATACAACATCTGTGAAACCAAGCACAATTCACCCACACGTAAGGGTCCTGTACAGAACCCTGGCCCTCTGAAGCATCCAGAAACGAAGCCAGCTGACAATACCCAACTTACACCACAGTTAAAGGAACACCAACCCTCCCAGATGAGAATCAGTGCAAGAACTCTGGCAATTCAAAAAGACACAGTGTCCCCTTGGAAGACCCAGGCCTGCGGAGGGACGTGAGGAGCAGCCCCGACGCCCGACTCAGTCGCAAACACCGGAGTTGGGGAAAACCAAGTAATAAAACCCTCGAAACTGCGCCTGCGCGCCGGAGGGTTACACGCAATCCCCTCTGGGAGGGGAGGGACCTTCCTCAGGGGCGGGAAGAGCCAGGCCCCTCCCCCACCTCCTGAGCCCCAAACCGGGTTGTGCCCGTGACTGACAGGCAAGGCTCCGCCCTACTCCCCGCCCATTTAGCGCCTCCTGACTGCTGAATGGCGGGCTCGCCTTGGTCTCCGTGCTGATTGGCTGGCAGCTGTACAGCCTGGCACTTCGCCCTCCACCACATCTCACCTCCTGAGGGACTCTGAGAGAACGCCCGGCCAGGGTGAACGCCGCGGCAGGAGAGCACGGGAGATTGTGAAGAGCATGGGGAGCCTTTGTCGTGCAGCGTGAAACCCTTGTAAACCCTCATCCCGAGACCTTCAAATTTTAGCTTGGGAGACCCCAGATCCCCTCACCCTGGGAAGCTCCAAATCCTCTCAGCCTCAAGAGACCCCAAATCCTGCCACCTTGAGGGATTTAAAATCCCCTCAGCATGAAACCCCCAAAGTACCTCAGCTTCAGAGACTCCAAATCCCTTCACCCAGAGGAACAGCGAATCTCCTAATGCTTAGAGCACCAAATATTCTGAGCCTGAGAAGCCGCAATTCCCCTCACCCTAAGGCAACCCAAATCCCTCAGCCTGAGGAACCCTAAATATCTCACCCACAGACAGACCAAATTTCCCCAACCTCAGATAACCTAAATAGCCTGAAAACTCAATCCCTTCAGCTTCAAGGACCAAATAACCTCAGTGTCAAAGACCCTAAAACCCCTTAATGAGAGATCCAAATCTCCTTTACCTGAGACCCAGAATTTCCTCAGCCTCAAAGATCTCAAATCCTTTCATCCTGAGGAACCCCAAATCCCCTTAACCTGATGAATCTCAAATCCTGTCAGCTTGAGCACTCCAAATCTCTTCAGCTTAAAAGACCCCAAATCTCATCCTGAAAAAACCACAGATACTATCAGCCTGAGGGATACCAAAGCTCCTCAGCTCGAGATACCCCAAATTTCCTCAACCTGAAAAACCCCAATTTCTTCAGTCTAAGACATCTCAAATCCCCTCAGCCTGAGGGACCCCAAATCTCAACCTGAGAAATAGCTTCCCCTTAGAGATGCAGACTGCTTTACTCCTGGATTTTTCTAGAATCCTCAGGTAGAGGTCCCCAAATCCTGTCTATGCGAAATGTTCATTTTGTCTCGCTGAAACAGAACTCTGCCCCTCAGTCTGACCCAAGTCTCAGCAGTCGGGGGGCCTCAAGGTCTCCTTGGGACTCCTCTGGCTCTCACACCTCAGGACTCCCCTCAAACACCGGTAGCTACAACCCTCCAGGCACCTGTGCCACCCTTCTCCAAATGAGCCTAGCTGCAGGGGAACTAAAAGAACAAAATCCAGCTTACATTAGGTGGTAGCTCATGGCCAGTGGAGGCCTTCCCATCCCATCAGTACCCTCAAATCTCCCTGGGGTGCTCGAGACCTCACCAGGAATCCACATCTTCCTGCTCTGAACACCCAGCCAGATGGAGAAGACAGAGCCTGGTTCTGGGTAGTGCTCAGGGCTGTTGCCCCCTCTCAGCACCTTCTCCTTCCACAGGAGCCTTTGGCCTAGGAGCTGGGAGACTCAGGGCCCTTCTCACACTCAGAATTGGAGCAGGGCCTTCTAGACAGTCCCAGCACCATGAGCCCTGAAAAGTCCCAAGAGGAGAGCCCAGAAGAAGACACAGAGAGAACAGAGCGGAAGCCCATGGTGAGAAGTGGAGGAAGCGAAGCTGGACTCCTAGCAGGAGCTGATCTCTGGAGTGCTGCAGACTCCTGGCCTGTACCCTTGGGGGACCCTATCTGAATGTGCATGGAATGGGGGCAGCTGGTCCTGGCCAGGACATGGGGGAGAAAAGAACACTAGCATCAGCGACTGCTCTGTGTCAGCAGAGAGCTAGGAAAATGCTCAGGGTCTGCTCAGTTAAATGGGACACAGTCTGGAGAAGGAGGGAAGATCTTTATGTTTCACAGAGACTCCCAGAGGCCCCAGGCTATGTCCTACACACAGGGTAGAGGAAAAGGACCAGCTTGATGTGTACTAGTAAATCACTGATGGAATCTGTTACTTCCTCTAGGTCAAAGATGCCTTCAAAGACATTTCCATATACTTCACCAAGGAAGAATGGGCAGAGATGGGAGACTGGGAGAAAACTCGCTATAGGAATGTGAAAAGGAACTATAATGCACTGATTACTATAGGTAACAGGAAGTGCTGGGCACAGACCAGCCTGGGAGACATAAAACAGGTCTTTGGTCCCTATATTATTTTAGTTCTCAGGTGGTGGCATCTGCCCACAATTCCCTTTTTCATGTAGACAAATCTGGAGGGAAATTTTGTTCTTTTGCGTCAGTGCAGGGCTGAGTGTGGATATTGACCATGCAGAGGTCACATCTTGACCTTGTTCAAGACTCTCCCAGCTCATCAGACTGAGCAGCACTGGCTTTGTGGTGCTTTCCATTGCCACTGCCCTTTGTTCCTTCTCCCAGCTCTTCCATTTTAGAACAAAATTTTTGCTTCTTTTCAGGTCTCAGAGCCACTCGACCAGCTTTCATGTGTCACCGAAGGCAGGCCATCAAACTCCAGGTGGATGACACAGAAGATTCTGATGAAGAATGGACCCCTAGGCAGCAAGGTAAGAGGGAAGGGAAGTAGGATTTTTTTTTTTTTTTTTTTTTTGAGATGGAGTTTTGCTCTTTTCACCCAGGCTGGGGTGCAATGGCATGATCTTGGCTCACTGCAATCTCCACCTCCCAGGTTCAAGCGATTCTCCTGCCTCAGCCTCCCAAGTAACTGGGATTACAAGCATCCACCACTACGCCCAGCTAATTTTTTGTAAATTTTTTTTAGTAGAGATGGGGTTTCTCCGTGTTGGTCAAGCTGGTCTCGAACTCCCGACCTCAGGTGATCTACCCATCTTGGCCTTCCAAGGTGCTGGGATTACAGCCATGAGCCACCACGCCTGGCCTATTTTTATTTTTTATTTTTTTGAGACAGGGTCTCCCTCTGTCATCCAGGCTGGATGGTGCAATCTTGGCTCACTGCAGCCTCTGCCTTCCGGGTTAAACAATTCTCCCACCTCAGCTTCTCGAGTAGCTGGGACTACAGATGTGCACCACCATGCCAAGCTAATTTTTGTATTTTTTGTAGAGATGGGGTTTCACCATGTTGGCCAGGCTGGTCTCAAATTCCTGGCCTCAAGTGATCCGCCTGCCTTGGCCTCCCAAAGTGCTGGGATGATGATGATGATGATGATGATGATGATGATGATGATGATGGTGATTGTTACTATTATTACAGACAAGGTCTCACTCTGTCACCCAGGCTGGAGTGCAGTGGTGCAATCATAACTCACTGCAGCCTCAAACTCCTGGGCTTAAGCGATCCTCCCACCTCAGCTTCCCAAAGTGCTAGGATTACAGGCATGAGGCACCGTGCATAGCCCCCAGGAAGATTTAGAAGTGACCTCCTGGCCAGGCACAGTGGCTCACACCTGTAATCCCAGCACTTTGGGAGGCCAAGGTGGTCGTATCACTTGAGGTCTGGAGTTTGAGACAAGCCTGGCCAACATGGTGAAACTCCGTCTCCACTAAAAATTAAAAAAAAAAAAAAAATTAGCCGGGTGTGGTGGTGGGTGCCTATAACCCCAGCTACTCAGGAGGCTGAGGCTGGGGAATAGCTTGAACCCATGAGGCAGAGGTGGCAGTGTGCCTAAATTGTGCCACCACCCTCCAGCCTGGGCAACAGAATGAGAAGACTCCGTCTCAGGGCGGGAAAAATAGTGACCTCCTGAAACCAGCCTGGGTTTAGGTCTCAGCTACATTTCAGAATTTAACAAAGGAAAAAGAATCTTCCCTCAAAAGCATAAATGTTCAACAAACAAGCAAAATGCAAGACAGTATATACAGTAAGAGGTTATTCATATAACGTTTGTTTGTTTGTTTGTTGTTTTTGTTTTTGTTTTTGTTTTTGAGATAGAGTCTCATTCTGTTGCCCAGGCTGGAGTGCAGTGGCACAATATCAGCTCACTGCAACCTCCACCTCCCAAGTTCAAGCGATTTTCCTGTCTCAGTCTCCTGAATAGCTGGGACTACAGGCATGTGCCACCACGCCAAGCTAATTTTTGTATTTTTGGTGGAGATGGGGTTTTGCCATATTAGCCAGGCTGGTCTTGAACTCCTTACCCACCTCAGTCCACCCGCCTTGGTCTCCCAAAGTGCTGGAATTACAGACATGAGCCACCACACCTGGCCTCATATAAAGTTTTAAAACTTGTAAAATATATATAGTATTTATAGATACAATAATAAGTGGTAAATGTATAAAATCTAAATGTGAATAAGAGTGCCAAATTCAGAACATTTATCATCACAACAAAAGAAGGAAGGGCTGGCAGGTGGCTTCACTGTGGCTTGGTTAGTTTTTTTGTATGTTTTTATTTTTGTTTTTAAATTTTGAAATACACATAAAAAGATCTGAAACAATTGTGACAGAATGTTGACATTGGACTGAATGGTGATGGATGTATAGGTTTTCCAGTACCATTCTCCATTGTTTTCTATATGTTTAAAATTTGTCATTCTTTTTTTTTTTTTAAATTGTGTTTGCTAAACATTGTTAATACATCATAGAACAATGAAAGCAAACTTAATTAAACTGTAAATCCACGAAAAAGCTTTCTAATACCAATCTCATAATATTGATTTAAATTTCTTAGAAGAAGAAATAATATTAAGTAAAGATATATCATTTATGTACATTTAATCATACTATATGATCCTCTTATACCAAAATGAATCTACTTCTTTGTCTCGATTCTGGAGCGGGTTTGAGAGAGCTGTTTAGTTTCCCTGATCTTTCCCATATGTCACTGACCAGAGACAGCATCAGGTAAATAAAATAATGTATCATAATTATAAAATAGAAGTGTGAAGCTCATTTCCTCTTCTACTGCTTGGTTAGGAGAGTTTAGAAGTAAAAAGAGTCAATCTACCCAAACTAGAGAAAGCAACTTGGATTGGGTCTACGATTTCCCCATCTATGGATTTTAGATTCCTTAGGACCTAAAAATACTGTAAGAGGTATGAAAGGCCAGTGTTTGCTTTTCTGCCAATGTTTTGACATGAAAAGAATGGCTCTTTAGCGGGAATCTATCTCCCATGGTTTACCACACATCTATACATCTTTATCTGAACTCAGTTAAAATCCCTAATTTAAGTTAATTTATTTTTTACTGTGGTAAGAAATCATATAACATATATTTACTCTTCTAACAATTTTTAAGTGTACAACTTTATTAATTATATGCACATAGTGGTGAAATAGATCCCTAGAACTTTTTATCTTGCATGACTAAAACCCTATACCCATTGAACAATAACACCCCATTTCCTCCTCCCTGCAGCTCCTGGCAACTGCAATTCTGTTTCTATAAATTTGATTACTTTAGATACCTCATATACATGGAATCAGCCATGAAATATTTGTCTTTTTGTCACTGGCTTATTTAATCACTTAGCATAATGTCCCCAAGATTCACCCATGTCATAGCATGTGACAAGATTTTCTTCTTTTTTAAGGCTGAATAATATTCCACTCCATGTATATACCACATTTTAAAAATCCATTCATTTGTCAATGGATATTAGGTTGCTTCACCTCTTGTCTATTGTGAGTAATGCTGTAATAACTATCAGTGTGCAAATATCTCTTTGAGATCCTGTTTTTAATTCTTTTTAATATATTGTATACCCAGAAGTGGAATTTCTGGATCATAAGGTAGTTCTGGTTTTAATTTTTTGTGGAAGTGCTATACTGTATTTTACAGTGTCTGCACCATTTTACATTCCCACTACTATGGTTTGAATGTGTGGAAGTTCATGTATTGGAAACTTAATTGCCATTGTAACAGTATTAAGAGGTGGAGCCTTTAAGAGGTGAATTAGGTAATGATAGCTCCAACCTCATGAATGGATTAACGCCACTATCACAGGAGTGGGTTAGTTATTGCAGGAGTGGGTTCCTGATGAAAAGGATGAGTTGGGCCCTTCCCTGTCTTTCTCTCTGTCTCACATGCACACTTACGCTTCCACCATGTCATGATGCGGTTTGAAGCCCCTTGCAAGATGCCAGGGCCATGCTCTTCAACTTCCCAGCCTCCAGAACCACAAGCCAAATAATTCTTCTCCTTATAAATTACCCACTCTGGGCCAGGCATGGTGGCTCATGCCTGTAATCCTAGCACTTTGGTAGGCCGAGGCAGGTGGATCATGAGGTCAGGAGTTTGAGACCAGCCTGGCCAGCTTGGTGAAACCCCATCTCTACTAAAAATACAAAATTAGCCGGGCATAGTGGCGTGCACCTATAATCCCAGCTACTCGGTAGGCTGAAGTAGAAGAATCACTTGAACCCGGGAGGCAGAGGTTTCAGTGAGCCGAGATCACACCACTGTACTGCAGCCTGGGCAACAGAACGAGACGCCGTGTCAAAACAAAAACAAAAACAAAAAAACCCACACACACACATAAATTACCCACTCTGTTACATTCTAGGAAAGCAGCAGAAAACAGACTAAGCCACCTACCAACAATAAGCAAGTGTTCTAAATTTCTCCGCATCTTCGCCAACACTTGCTATTTTCTGTTTTTTTGACAGAGGCTATCATAACAGGATAAGTGACATCTCGCTGTGGTTTTAATTTTCATTTCCCTGATGATTAGTGATGTTAAGCATATTTTTATATGCTTCTTAGCCATTTATGTATCTTCTTTTGAGAAATGTCTATTCAAGTTTTTTGCCCATTGTATTAGTCAGCCCAGGCTGCCACAAGAAAATACCACACACTGGGTGGCTTAAACAACAGAAATTTATTTTCTGACATTTCTGAAGCCTGGAAGTAAAAAATCAGAGTGCCAGCATGGTTGGGTTCTGGTGAGGGGTCTCTTCCTGACTTGTGGGCAACCTCCATCTCACTGTGTATTTACGTGAATTATTTGTGTTCCCACATCAGGAAGGAGAAGGAATTTCTTCCTCTTCTTATTAAAGCAATAATATCTACTAGAAGATTTTTTTTTTTTAGACAGCCTCACTCTGTTGCCCCAGGCTGGAGTTCAGTGGTGCGATCTCAGCTCACTGCAAACTCCACCTCCTGGGTTCAAGCAATTCTCCTGCCTCAGCCCCCCACGTAGCTGGGACTACAGGGGCACACCAGCTAATTTTTGTATTTTCAGTAGAGATGGGGTTTTACCATGTTGACCAGGCTGGTCTCAAACTCCTGGCCTCAAATTATCTGCCCACCTCCTCGGCCTCCCAAAGTGCTGGGATTATAGGCATGAGCCACTGCGCCAGGCCAAAAGCACTAATGCCATCCTAAGGGTCCCACCCTCATGACATCACCTATCCCTAATTACCTACCAGTGGCTCCATCTTTAAATACCATCATATTGAGGTATTAAATATGCTTCAGCATATGAATTTGGGGGAAACAAAATTCAGTCCATACCACTCATTATTTAATTATTTGTTTTGTTGTTGTTGTATTATAGGAGTTCTTCATATATTCTGAATATTAACTCTTTTTTTTTTTTTTGAGACAGAGTTTCGCTCCTGTTGCCCAGGCTGGAGTGCAATGGAGCGATCTCAGCTCACTGCAACCTACACCTCCCGGGTTCCACCGATTATTCTGCCTCAGCCTCCCGAGTAGCTGGGATTACAGGCACATACCACCACGCCCAGCTAATTTTTTGTATTTTTAGTAGAGACAGGGTTTCACCATGTTGGCCAGGCTGGTCATGAACTCCTGACCTCAAGTGATCCATCTGCCTCGGCCACCCAAAGTGCTGGGATTACAGGCATGAGCCACAGCGCCTGGCCTGGATTTAACTCTTTATCTTCTTTTTTTGAGTCAGAGGTCTCACTATGTTGCTCTGGCTGGTCTCGAACTCCTAGGTTCAAGTTATCCTCCCACCTGAGCCTCTGAATAGCTGAACTATAGTCATGTGCCACTGCACTCAGCAACATTAACCCTTTATCAAATATATGGTTTGCATATATTTTCTTCCACTCTGTAGGATGCCTTGCCACTCTGTTGAATGTTTTCTTTGCTACACAGAAGTTTTTAAGTTTGATGTAGTCTTATTTGTCTATTTTTGCTTTTATTGCTTATGCTTTTGGTGTCATATACAAGAAGTTATTGTTCATTTCAATGTCATAAGCTTTTCCTCTGTGTTTTCTTCTTGAGGTTCTGTACTTATAGGTTTTACATTTCAGTCTTTAATCTATTTTGAGTTAATTTTTATATGAGATATGTGGTAAGAGTCTGTCTTCTCTTTTGCATATGTATATCCAATTTTCCCAACACCATTTCTTGCAGACTGTCCTTTCCTCCATTGTGTAGTCTTGGCATCCTTGCTGAAGATCATTTGACCGCATACACAAGGGTTTATTTCTGGCCTCTCTATTCTGTTCCATTGGTCTATATGTCTGTCTTTATACCAGTACCACACTTTTCTGATCGCTGTAGCTTTGTAATATGCTTTGAAATCAGGAACTATGAGGCCTTTAACTTTATTCTTCTTTTTCAAGATTGGTTCAGCTATTCTGAGTCCTTAGAGATTCTATATGAATTTTTGGATATTTTTCCTTTTCTGAAAATAATGGCATTGGCATTTTGATAGAGATGGCATTGAATCTATAGATCATTTTGATAGTATGAACATGTTAACAATATTAAGTCTTCAAATCCATGAACACAGGATGTCCTTCCATTTATTTGTGTCTCCTTAAATTTCTGTCGGCACCGTTTTGTAGTTTTTAGTGTTCAAGTTTTTTGCCTCCTTGGTTAAGTTTATTTGTAATTATTCTATTCTTTTTGATGCTATTGTGGTTGGGATATTTTTCTTAATTTCCTTTGTGGATTGCTCATTGTTACTAAATAGAAACACAACTGATTTGGGGTGTTGATTTTGTATGGTGAATTCATGTATTATTATTATTTTTTTAGATGGAGTCTGGCTCTGTTGCCCAGGCTGGAGTGCAGTGGCGTGATATCGGCTCACTGCAAGCTCCACTTCCCTGGTTCACGCCATTCTCCTGCCTCAGCCTCTCGAGTAGCTGGGACTACAGGCGCCCGCCACCATGCCTGGATAATTGTTTGTATTTTTAGTAGAGACAGGGTTTCACCGTGTTAGCCAGGATGGTCTCGATCTCCTGACCTCGTGATCTGCGCACCTCAACCTCCCAAAGTGCTGAGATTACAGGCGTGAGCCACCATGCTCGGCCCGAATTCATGTATTACTTCTAACAATTTTTTGGTAAAAATCTTTATAGTTTTCTTTTTTTTTTTTTAAGATGGGGTCTCGCTCTGTCGCCCAGGCTGGAGTGCAGTGGCACGATCTCGGTTCACTGCAACCTCTGCCTCCCAGATTGAAGCGATTCTCCTGCCTCAGCCTCCTGATTAGCTGGGACTACAGGCGCCCGCCACCACACCTGTAATCCTAGCACTTTGGGAGGCCAAGATGGGCAGATCACGAGGTCAGGAGATCAAGACCATCCTGGCTAACATGGTGAAACCCTGTCTCTACTAAAAATAAAAAATTTAAAAATTTAAAAAATTAGCTGGGCGTGGTGGTGGGCGCCTGTAGTCCCAGCTACTCAGGAGGCTGAGGCAGGAGAATGGCATGAACCCACGAGGCGGAGCTTGCAGTGAGCCAAGATTGTACCACTGCACTCCAGCCTGGGCGACAGAGCGAGACTCCATCTCAAAAAAAAAAAAAAAAAAAGGTTGGGGGGGCTTTTCTTTTATGATCTTTTTATGTTAAAGTGATTTCCTTCTATTCCTAGTTTGTTCAGTGTGTTTGTCGTGAAAGGTCAATTTACATTTTAAAAATTAATGTACTAGATACCTTATTAGGTATACTTTAATAGACAGGATGAAACAAAGATGAAGTTTTATCTATTTTTTTAAGTCTTAAGAAAATTAGCAATGCCTTTAATAGAAACATAGGCCTTAATGATACTTCAGAAAACATTTCCAAATCGCCTTTGGATAATACTTGGAATCATCACTCTCTGATTCAGAATTCTCTGTCTCTAATGAGAAACTCCAGAGTTAGGCCCGGCATGGTGGCTCACGCCTGTAATCTCAGCACTTTGGGAGGCAGACGCAGGTGGATCACCTGAGGTCAGGAGTTTGAGACCAGCATCGCCAACATGGAGAAACCCTATCTCTACTAAAAATACAAAAATTAGCCGGGTGTGGTGGCGTACACCTGTAGTTCCCAACAACTCACAAGGCTGAGGCAGGAGAATCGCTTGAATCCGGGAGAGGGAGGTTGCAGTGAGTGGAGATTGAGCCACTGCACTCCAGCCTGGGCGACAGAGGGAGACTCCGTCTCAAAAATAAAAAATAAAAATAAAAAATAGAAGAGAGAATCTCTAGTGTTTGGAAACATTTACCAACCAAACCACTGATTTCTCATCACCTTTTAGTCAAACCTCCTTGGATGGCCTTAAGAGTGGAACAGCGTAAACACCAGAAGGTAAGTATTTCCCAAATCCTATTGACAAGAAACCTTCCTCATGGATCCAAACACAGGTAAGAGGAGGAGAATGTACAGACTATCATAGGAACTAATGCCTTCTTTTCCTGATCTCTTTAGCACAGTGTCTGACATCATCATTATTTTAAGAGTTAATAAGAACAGCAACAATAATTGCTACCATGGTGTTATTTTCTCAGTATTTTCAGACTCTATTTTAAGCATTTTACATGAATAAACTTTACATATAGTTCCTATTCAACTTTATATATAGTACCTATTAAGTAGATGTTGTAACTATAGCCATTTTACAGATGAGAAAACTGAGGTATAAAAATGTTCAGTTATATCCCTGGGATCACATTCAGTGTTGGTGCAGTCTAATCCAAAACTCCTTCTCTAAAGCACTTACAAGATCATTAACACAAGATCATTAAAAGTTTCATAGTTTTATAAAGTTTATGCTGTCTTACCCATATGTGTTACATCATTCGTCCAACTGACTTTTTAACCTCAGTTTTTCTCTGTTATGGTAAAGTGAGATTTGCACTGAAACACTCTGATTAAGGGAAGCTTCCAAGTAAATAGACAGTTCATACTGTGTTTGGTCCCAGAAGGAGATAGGGTCCCTACCCTCATAAGGGACCCATTCTGATCAGAGGAAGCAGCTTCCAGCCCTGAGGAGTTTCAGCTTTGAAGACTGAGAAACAACAAATAAGAAAATGGTTTAAGACTTCATATAGGTTACATCCTATTAAGTAAAAATATATTCTTCTGGAACTGATTTCAAATTCTCATTCCTACAGAAGGCAGTAACAGCTCCTTCCTCTGGGCTCCAATTAGGGAACTGTCATGTTGTTTGGAATTATTTGTTTAGCCTGCCTGCTGCCTCTTCATTGTGAGCTCTTCAGGAGTCTGGTCCATATCTGATTCTTCTCAGAACTCCCAAGCCCAGATCAGGGCCTCTGAGAGCCTCCTTAGTGTTTTCTGAATGACTGATTCCAAGTTTATGAATTAAACTATAAGTAACAGGGTCAAGGAATGCTGAAAATATCTTTGAGTTAGATTTCAACTGTAGAGATGTTATCAGGACTATGAGATAATTTTCATTTGTTTGTTATTTTTCTGGGTGGTGGTGGGGTGATTTGAGACAGAGTCTGGCTCTTTCGCCCAGGCTGGAGTGCAATGACTCAATCTCGGCTTACTGCAGCCTCCATCTCCTAGATTAGTGCGATCCTCCTGCCTCAGCCTCCTGAGTAGCTGGGACCATAGGCATGCACCACCATGCCCAGCTGATTTTTACGTTTTTTGTAGAGACAGGGTTTTGCCATGTAGCTCAGGCTGGTCTTGAACTACTGGGCTCAAGCCATCCTCCCACCTTGGCCTCCCAAAGTGCTGGGATTACATATGTGAGCCATTGCACCCAGTCTGTGAGAAAAATTCTTTTCTTTTGTTGAGACAGAGTTTCACTCTTGTCACCCAGGCTGGAGTGCAGTGGAGTGATCTCGGCTCACTTTAACCTCCCCCTCCTGGGTTCAAGTTGTTCTCCTGCCTCAGCCTCCCAAGTAGCTGGGATTACAGGCACCCGCCACCACACCTGGCTAGTTTTTTGTATTTTTTGTAGATATGGGGTTGGCTAGACTGGTCTCAAAACTCCTGACCTGAGGTGATCCGCCTGCCTTGGCCTCCCAAAGTGCTGGGATTACAGGTGTGAGCCACTGCACCTGGTGAGAAAAATTATTAATCTCACATTCATACTGTATTAAGTAGTTCAAAAAACACTTTGGTGAACATTATTATCTTTCATGTTCACTACAATATTAAGAATTAGCGCCAGGGGCAGTGGCTTACACCTGTAATCCCAGCACTTTGAGAGGTGGAGGTGGGCAGATCACCCGAAGTCAGGAGTTCGAGACCAGCCTGGCCAACATGGTGAAACCCCATCTCTACTAAAACTACAAAAATCAGCTGGGCATGGTGGTGGACACCTGTAATCCCAACTACTCAGGAGCCTGAAGCAGGAGAATCGCTTGAACCCGGGAGGTGAAGGCTGCAGTGAGCTGAGATCGTGCCACTGCACTCCAGCTTAGGCAACAAAGTGAGACTCCCTCTCAAAAAAATAAAAAAAAAAAAGAATTAGCATGGTCTGATGGTCTGAGTGTGGGGGCTCATGCCTATAATCCCAGCACTTTGGGAGGTTGAGGTGGGTGGATCACTTGAGGTGAGGAGTTCGAGACCATCCTGGCCAACCTAGTGAAACCCCGTCTCTAATAAATATACAAAAATTAGCTGGGTATGGTGGCACATGCCTGTAATCCTAGCTTCTCGGGAGGCTGAGGTAGAAGAATCTCTTGAACTTGGGAGGTGGAGGCTGCAGTGAGCTGATATCGTGCCACTGCACTTCAGCCTAGGCAACAGAGCGAGACTCCTTCTCAAAAAAAAAAAAAAAAAAAAAAGCATGTATGCCAATTTCTGGATCAGGAAACTAAAGAGAATTAGCTAACAATACACCCTTATTCAAGCAGACAAGCAGAAGTGGTACAGGAACTAATTAATCTAATTCCAAAGCCAAATATTCTTTCCAGGATATGGCAACATGCAACTTTGACATCATTTTCTTGGTTGTCTAGATATATTTTTGCCAATCGTCTCTTTGTTCTGTTCCCAATCTTACTGCTCTATTACCTCATTTTCCAGAAGTGCTTTGTCCCTCTGTGCTTCTCTACATTTCCCCTTCTATCAAAAGTCTACTAGTTTATGGAAGATTCCCTCCTTCTCTTTGTAAGCCCTTACCCCCTTCTTTCACAGATCTTGTTGATTCTCCAGCTAGTCTTCCCAAGTATTCCTCCTCCTTCCCTTTGACTTACATAGAACATTTTAGAGAAAGTTGAAGGAAAGAGCCTTAAGACATGGGTTAGAGTCCCAGATTCACTACTCACTTAGACCTTCTCTTTTCCCTCTAGTATTTAGACACTCTAGGTATTTTCAAGGTTTGAACATTAACTAGAGTCATGCATATGAAAACATGTTGCAAGCCGTAAAGAACTAAAGAAATTCGTGTTGTCTTTTAATATGTGACTCTCACATTAAAGGGAATGCCCAAGGCGTCATTCAGTAATGAATCTAGTTTGAAAGAATTGTCAAGAACAGCAAATTTACTGAATGCAAGTGGCTCAGAGCAGGCTCAGAAACCAGTGTCCCCTTCTGGAGAAGCAAGTACCTCTGGACAGCACTCAAGACTAAAACTGGGTAAGAAAAAATATTTGCGGGGACTTTAGTCCCTCTATGTCCTCTAGAAAGGTTGATGAGTATGGTCTACCTATGTGGGGTGGACTTTGCATAGGCCTGGGCTTAAGCTGGACTCAACTGTGAGACCAGAAGGTAGATGCAGTATTTTGTTAAAATTATTTATTTATTTGTTCACTGAGACAGAGTCTCACTCTGTTGCCCAGGCTGGAGTGCAGTGGCGCAATCTCGGTTCACTGCAACCTCTGCCTCCATGAAAATAGATGTTTTCTTGCCTCAGTCACCCGAGTAGCTGGGATTATAGGCGTGCGCCACTGTGCCCGGCTGATTTTTGTATTTTTAGTAGAGACAGGGTTTCACCTTGTTGACCAGGCTGGTCTCAAACTCCTGGCCTCAAGAGATCTGCTCACTTCAGCCTCCCAAAATGCTGGGATTACAGGCTTGAGCCACCATGTCCAGCCTTGGATACAGTATTGAATAGCATGTAAGAACATTAACTTTGAAGTCATTCACTTGGGTTATAATCTACATAGAAGCACTGGGGCCTTGGGCAAATCTTATAAATTCTCTGAGCTCCTGAATGGTAATCTGTAAAATGAGACCAAGTATATATAGACCAAGTACATTGTTTGAAAGCATTAAATTAAATATAAATGAACCCATACATGCAAGGTGTCCAATAAGTACCTCTCTGATAATAGATATTCTTTTGTGCATTTCTACATTTCCTCTTCCATCACATGTCTACTAGTTTGTAGAAGATCCCCTATAGAGATCATACTTTATCTTAGTGTTGTATGTCCAGGCCTTTGTTCAATGCCTAAGATGTAATGTGACCTCAAGAAATATCTTCCAAATGAATAAATGCATGAATGAACCATTTTGTAAGTAGAAATGTTGGGAGGTTAATGGTATAATGAGAACAGCCAGAAACTAATATTAAATAGGCATCTGCAGTCAGTGTGGGTGTGGGGTCTAAGTCTCTCTGAAGCAGTAGTTAAAGAGGGGGACACTAGAGTATGTAGAAAGGTAGATGCCAATTTGATGGTAGATTTCACATTTTCTTATGAAACAAGGACAAACACCCCAGATTCCCAATTTTACCCGTCTACTCTTCTCCAACCTAGAACTCAGGAAGAAGGAGACTGAAAGAAAGATGTATAGCCTGCGAGAAAGAAAGGGTCATGCATACAAAGAGGTCAGCGAGCCGCAGGATGATGATTACCTCTGTAAGTGACACTTTTGGCCACTCACACAGCTTGCTGTTATGTCCTGGTGCAATAATTTCATCATTTGGCCCACAAATCATTCCCTTACTCTAATGAATTAGAGTACAGGATTAGGGCTAAATAATGTGAATGCCAAGCTCTTTCTGAAGCTCTTATATCAAGGAACATGCATTACAACTTTCCTAATCTCTGCTTCCCTCACTTCCAGATTGTGAGATGTGTCAGAACTTCTTCATTGACAGCTGTGCTGCCCATGGGCCCCCTACATTTGTAAAGGACAGTGCAGTGGACAAGGGGCACCCCAACCGTTCAGCCCTCAGTCTGCCCCCAGGGCTGAGAATTGGGCCATCAGGCATCCCTCAGGCTGGGCTTGGAGTATGGAATGAGGCATCTGATCTGCCGCTGGGTCTGCACTTTGGCCCTTATGAGGGCCGAATTACAGAAGACGAAGAGGCAGCCAACAATGGATACTCCTGGCTGGTAAGAAGAGCCTGCCATTTCCCCTGTTCTGTCTTCCCACATCCCTTCTGTGCCTTTGGTGGGGCATAATCTTCTACATGTTAGTATATAGGTAAGGATAACATGGTTAGCTCTGTGTACTCAAGGTTCTTTGCATGAACACGGAACTCCTATTTAGAGATCAGAGGTTACATGGGAGCAGAGTGGTACAAAGACAAAGAAGTGCATCCTCCCTGTGGAGCTTCTGCTCTGATTGGACAAACCAACTCAGATGTGTAGATAGATGATGACTAAGGTGCATACCATGTGGTCTCAATTGGCAGCTGAAGCTATGCAGGCCCAAAGGCCATTGACGACAGTGGAGTAAAATAATTCTTCTGATTTTTACCCTCTAAAAAGCCTTTGCCTTGTTTTTCTGAAACTCAGATCACCAAGGGGAGAAACTGCTATGAGTATGTGGATGGAAAAGATAAATCCTGGGCCAACTGGATGAGGTAAGGCCAGTAGCTCTCTGAGTTGCAGAGAGAACCTTCATCTCTCACAAAGCTGGATTTCCTTCCTTATCATTATGCCTCCCTCAATGATTTTCACATTCCCTATTTCTATTTTTCTCCATACAATGCTGTTTTATACCATCAACATTTAGAAATAATAAATAAAAATATAGATATTATGATTTATTGGTATCAAAACATAAATATGTATGCTAGACAAAATTGAGGCACCAAGATAAACCTTGAGAAGCCTAGATTCACGGGGGACTCTGAATTCATGCTTTAATTTATGTAATCCACGTTTATTAAGCACTTTGTATGTTCCAGGTTAGGAAGTGAGGTTCACTACTTGAACAGAAGTGAGCTGCAGGATGACTCAGCCCCTTTCCACAATGGGCTCTCGTTCTATCAGAGAATAGAAAAATGAATCAACTATTACTGTTCTATGTTATTGGGCCAAGAGAAAGAGACTTCTAAGTTTCTCTGGGAATCTGGGGAAGTCAGGTGAATGGCACCTGAATGAACTGTAGGGTGATTAGAGGAAGGTCTGTCAAAGAAAGATGGACTTGGGCTGAGTGTAGAATGATGTGCACTAATCTAGAAGCAGAGTACATGATCAAGCACCAAGTTCTGTGGTATAAAACAGAATTAATTTAGAGTTTAGAGAAGCTAGAAGTCAATGTGTTTTATGGCCAGTCAAGGTGGAGGTAAGTCTGGAGTTGGGCTTTGAAAAAATGGTTGATTAGGCATGGCAGGGAAACATTCTAGGCAGGATGAACACTGTAGTCAGAAGTGCAAGTTCATATGACATTGTGAAAGAGATTTAGGAATGAGCAGAAGGTTCCCGGAGGAGTGGTGGGGGAGTGGTCAGCACTAGACCATGGAGGCCTAGACCAGCAGGTGATGGGCCATACCTGGATCTGATACTGGGAACTCACTGCCTCTTTTCTTTCCCTTTGCCTGCCTTGACCCCAGGTATGTGAACTGTGCCCGGGATGATGAAGAGCAGAACCTGGTGGCCTTCCAGTACCACAGGCAGATCTTCTATAGAACCTGCCGAGTCATTAGGCCAGGCTGTGAACTGCTGGTCTGGTATGGGGATGAATACGGCCAGGAACTGGGCATCAAGTGGGGCAGCAAGTGGAAGAAAGAGCTCATGGCAGGGAGAGGTAGGCATCACTATTACTCTTTTAAAAGGACAGGAAAGAAAGAATTATCCTAGAGAATTTTCATGGTTTAACTCTTAAGTACAGTAAAATGCCATCTAAAGTCAGTAAGATTTCAAATCAGTGGCTTCCAAAATTAAACATTCATGTTATATACCTTTGCCTCTTTGGAACAATTTTCATATTTTTAAATCTTTGTTCTGATTTTATATTCTAAGTACTTCATGCACAAAGTATATAACAGCATATAGTGCTGAAAGACTTAAAGACAAAAATCAAGTTCTCAAACACCTACCAGCTCTCCCAACAAGGTAGTTTCTTCTGGCATTTCCTTGATATTTCCTAATGATATGCATGTGTTGTTATTCATTCATTAATTACCTCAATTAGCTGTCATGTGAATTCCTACTCAGTGCCAGACCATGTTGCAGGAAGTGTAAATATAGATTGATCAAGACAATCAGAAAAACTGCTCTTGACATGTGAATTAGGGAACCATATGATTACATACAGACATATGTGTAATATCAGACAGTGATTAGTGCTTTGAAGTAAATGAATCCAGAAAGAATACCTGGGGATCCGTGTGAGGTGAGAGTAGAGTGTTGCAGCGGATTGTCAGGGAAGATTTCTCTTAGGAGACAGCATTTGAGAAGTGCAAGTGCCTGTGGGCCAAGGGTTCCAGGCACAGGGCGCAGCTAGTGCAATGGTCCTACGGCCAGAAAGAATTCAGCTTTGGTTCATTTTTGGAAAACAGTCTCCAGTGGGTCATCCCCTCAGAGCTGCTCCAGTTTCCAGATGAGAGAGAATGGTGGGCAGGATGAAGGTGGGGAGCACGGAGGTAAGTCTGAGTAGGGATATATTTTGACACAAGACTTCCTATTGTATTTGAAATGGGCTCAGACTGAATGAAATATCTCAAAAATGAATACTTGATGGGCAGCCTGAGAGAGAACATATTCTCATTTTATGATTTGTGGAATCTGAAATGGAATCTATGCACCTAGTTGGGGTAGCAGGACCCAGAGTCCTTTAGTCAGTGGGACCTGGACCACTCTGTGTTGGCCAACCTGAATCCCACTTCCTGATGGAGAACCAGGCACATAACAGTCCTCAATTAAATATGTCCTTTTGAATGAGGAGACTCAAATTCAGATTTGCTCACACATCTTCTCTTTAACCACATTTGTGGATCTCCAGCCTGAGTGCTCTTAATAGATCCTTTTCCCCTCTTAGGAAATCACTAAGGACAATCTCACCTAAGTCATCAAGAGTGTTATTTCTCAATAGAATAAAATAGCTGAAGGTCTCATGTCAGCAAAAGTGCCCAGGGACCAGGGAGGGAGGATGTGGCAGAGGGTGATCAGGGAAGGCTTTATAGGACTTGGAAAATACCTGCAGTGTGGGGAAAAGGTCACTGCAGTTCCATCTATGTAAGGAATGACACTGCCCTGATGCTGGTTGAGGTTACCTAGTCTGGCAGATATGTAGAAAAGGACCAAGATGTGGGATTTCTGGATTTTTTAAGATGTAGTGAATAAAAGTGGAATGGAAAAATGGACTGTAAAGGTCCATCCAGCACTTGGTGGGAAAGAGCTTGCATTGTTAACATATGAAGAATGATTGTTTCTTCATTTGATCTTCATACCTTCATATGTGGTAAGGCCTGAACAAAACATCTACCCTGACCAAAAACTTCCTCTTTCAGAACCAAAGCCAGAGATCCATCCATGTCCCTCATGCTGTCTGGCCTTTTCAAGTCAGAAATTTCTCAGTCAACATGTAGAACGCAATCACTCCTCTCAGAACTTCCCAGGACCATCTGCAAGAAAACTCCTCCAACCAGAGAATCCCTGCCCAGGGGATCAGAATCAGGAGCAGCAATATCCAGATCCACACAGCCGTAATGACAAAACCAAAGGTCAAGAGATCAAAGAAAGGTCCAAACTCTTGAATAAAAGGACATGGCAGAGGGAGATTTCAAGGGCCTTTTCTAGCCCACCCAAAGGACAAATGGGGAGCTGTAGAGTGGGAAAAAGAATAATGGAAGAAGAGTCCAGAACAGGCCAGAAAGTGAATCCAGGGAACACAGGCAAATTATTTGTGGGGGTAGGAATCTCAAGAATTGCAAAAGTCAAGTATGGAGAGTGTGGACAAGGTTTCAGTGTTAAATCAGATGTTATTACACACCAAAGGACACATACAGGGGAGAAGCTCTACGTCTGCAGGGAGTGTGGGCGGGGCTTTAGCTGGAAGTCACACCTCCTCATTCACCAGAGGATACACACAGGGGAGAAGCCCTATGTCTGCAGGGAGTGTGGGCGGGGCTTTAGCTGGCAGTCAGTCCTCCTCACTCACCAGAGGACACACACAGGGGAGAAGCCCTATGTCTGCAGGGAGTGTGGGCGGGGCTTTAGCCGGCAGTCAGTCCTCCTCACTCACCAGAGGAGACACACAGGGGAGAAGCCCTATGTCTGCAGGGAGTGTGGGCGGGGCTTTAGCCGGCAGTCAGTCCTCCTCACTCACCAGAGGAGACACACAGGGGAGAAGCCCTATGTCTGCAGGGAGTGTGGGCGGGGCTTTAGCTGGCAGTCAGTCCTCCTCACTCACCAGAGGACACACACAGGGGAGAAGCCCTATGTCTGCAGGGAGTGTGGGCGGGGCTTTAGCTGGCAGTCAGTCCTCCTCACTCACCAGAGGACACACACAGGGGAGAAGCCCTATGTCTGCAGGGAGTGTGGGCGGGGCTTTAGCAATAAGTCACACCTCCTCAGACACCAGAGGACACACACAGGGGAGAAGCCCTATGTCTGCAGGGAGTGTGGGCGGGGCTTTCGCGATAAGTCACACCTCCTCAGACACCAGAGGACACACACAGGGGAGAAGCCCTATGTCTGCAGGGAGTGTGGGCGGGGCTTTAGAGATAAGTCAAACCTCCTCAGTCACCAGAGGACACACACAGGGGAGAAGCCCTATGTCTGCAGGGAGTGTGGGCGGGGCTTTAGCAATAAGTCACACCTCCTCAGACACCAGAGGACACACACAGGGGAGAAGCCCTATGTCTGCAGGGAGTGTGGGCGGGGCTTTCGCAATAAGTCACACCTCCTCAGACACCAGAGGACACACACAGGGGAGAAGCCCTACGTCTGCAGGGAGTGTGGGCGGGGCTTTAGCGATAGGTCAAGCCTCTGCTATCACCAGAGGACACACACAGGGGAGAAGCCCTACGTCTGCAGGGAGGATGAGTAAGTCATTAGTAATAAAACCTCATCTCAATAGCCACAAAAAGACAAATGTGGTCACCACACACTTGCACACCCCAGCTGTGAGGTGGCTTCAGCGGAAGTCTGCTGACCCCTTATATTCCCCGAGAGTATAAAGAGATCGGAAATAACTGATTAAACAAATCCGCCACTTTCATGACTAGAGATGAGGAAGAACAAGGGATAGTTCTGTAAGTGTTCGGGGGACATCAGCATGTGTGGTTCTTTCCCGCACTGATCCCCTCCATTTTTTGTTTGTTTTTTTGCCTCCTGTTCTAATAAATTTTGTCTCCATACAAATCTGAACCCCAAGTGTGTACCTCATTCTTCCCTTATCACTGAAGGCAAGAAGAGTCCAGAAGGGCCACAGAGAACTCATGTGTTCAGCTCAAGACTCCACAGGAATTCAACCCCCAGAAAGACATAAACTTGGAGTCCGTCTGGTTTAATTATTGGAGAATCGATTCCCAAGTCCAGGAAGAGAAATGTAAGATTCTAGAAAGTCGCAGCAGGAAAGGGAGTTCCCTGGTCTCCTGGGAAGTGTGGCTTCTTCTCCTAATGGACACCTCTCCTCTGCTGCCATACTCTCCCTTGGCTCCCCAGTCTCCTCTCCTGATCTCCTCCAATCTCTGTAGCCCAAGATGTGAAAGCCAGACAAGAACACGCGTGTGTGTATATATGTGTTCGGGTGTGGGGGTATGTGCCCTCCGTGTAGGTAACTGTGTGAGTGTGGGGGGTTTCAAGGGTGTGTTAGGAACAACGCTCAAAATCCTAAGGAAACTGAACACTCGAACGAAGGATTCTTAGCAAAGCAATTTTACTTCTGTGCAGAGGGGTGCCTCCTTGGCCGGTCGCCATGAGAGCACACCTGAACAAAGAGGCAGGAGAGCCTTTATTCCTGACACAAGTCCTGCCCCTGTACCTTTTTCCACTGGCTGGGGTCGGGTCGTACAATCTAAACTAATCCCAGTTGGCTAAAGATTTGATTTTTTTAGATAAGGTGGGCAAGTAAAAAAAAAAAAAATGGAGACGAAGGGGAAGGGGTGTCTGTAATGAGCTAGGAAGTTAGTCCTCTTTCCAAATAAGGAAAGGAATGTGAGCTGGTGGTACTGATAACGCCTAGTACTGTGGTGTGCCTGGGCATCTAACAAAGGCAGAAAGGAAAACAGAAGAAAAAGGAGAAAGGAGGGGAGGTACTATGAATTAAAGAATAAAAGATTGATCAGATTATTTGAAGAGAAACCTCATCATATCCCACAGGTGTGTGTGCATGTGTGTGTATCTGCACACGTATGTGCATGTACTTGTGTGTGCATGTGTGTGTCCAGTTGAGGGCACCAATCAGAGAAGGAATGCCCCTGCTTCTTCCAGGGGAATCCTAGATCCTCATTCTCTTTCTACAGAGCAATAAAAATGTAAAAACAAACACCTTACTCTTTTTTTAACAAAAGATTATGAAAATAAATAAAGGGATAGATTTTTTTTTTAAATTAAGATCCACACTGTCTGTCAAGACCCAGCCAAGCTCGAGGAGGGCAGACAGACCATCCCAGCAGGCCTAGGAAGAAGCTTTCCTGTCTTCCTGGAAGGGCTTCGGAATCAAGCCTCCGTATACCTCCCAGCAGACACATGACTGAAAGGTGCTGAAGTTTCCCTCAGAAGAAAGTTGAACAGGGGTGGTGCAGAGAAGAAGGAAGTACCCCAGATATATGGGCCATCAGCTTTGCTGCCGTGAACAAGCTCAGCCTTTGATTCTGAATCTGATTCTTGAGGTGAGAGAAGGGCTCTCAGACCAAAATGTCCCCAGGGCATGTAGAGTCAAGAGGGGAAATGGAGTGATCAAAATCGAGTCAGTTCCCCGCTTTGAACAATCTAAGTCCCTTTTCTCATTCAGTTAAAGCCAGCAGAATCCTCAGTTGGGACTTGGTAGTAGGGGGTATCTGCTAGATGGTACTAGCCATCAGGCATTTAATGAGGGGACATTTCTATGAAAATAAACAAAAACAAAGGCTAATAGTTGGAAACTCAGTTTCTGAGTCCACAGGGCAGTCAGTGGAGAGGATTTCTAGATGACTTTAAACAATTGCCCCCAGGCGTAGGTGTAGAGATCATGATTGAAGTCCCACACTTATTTCACTCTGGGCCCGATAAAATTTGCACACCTCATAGCTCAGACTGCTCTGAGCTATTTTTCTTTTCTTATCTTATTTTACAATCTAGAACATGTAAAGGATTGTCCTACATATCAGCTAGTTCAGAGGCATTTCAAGTGAAGCAGCTTCAGATCTATATTTAACTATCATTATAGTTAGCCTTTTCTGTTCCACTGCAGTGATCTAAGCCATGACTATGTTCCCGGACCAAACCGAGGGTCGGGCTGCTTGTTCTCACGGCCCAATAACGAGATGCAGACGAACGGAGAGAGAATGGGGAAAAGCTTAAAAGCCTTTCCTCTGAGAAATGAAGCAAGATTAGGATACCTAATATCACAACAGTTATTCAGCACGGTACTGAAAATTTTAGACAAAGCAATTAGGCAATATAAATAAATAAATGGCATACATATCGAAAAATAAGAAGTCAAATTATTTCTATTTGCATATGATATAATCTTATATACATAGAAAAGCCTAAAGACTCTACCAAAAAACAACAAAAAAATCCTCTTAAAACTGAGAAATAAATTCAGTAAAATCGCAGGATACAGTATCAGTACACACAAATCATCAGTACTCCTATATTCCAATAACAAACTACCAGAAAAATAAATAAAAAAAGTGATCCCATTTATAGTAGCTATGAAAAAAATACTTAGGAATAAATTGAACTGAGGAGGTGAATGAAAATCTCTACAATAAAACTCAAAACCACCAATGAAAAAAATTGAAGAGAACCCCTAAAATAAACAGGCATATCATGCTTATGAATTGGAAGAATTACATTGTTAAGATAATCATACTACACAAAGCAATCTACAAGGTCAGCAGAATCTCTCTTAAAATACCAATGACATTCCTCACAGAGGTAGAAAAAAATAGCCCTAAAATTTATATGGAATCAAAAAAGACTCAGAATAGACAAAGCAATCCTGAGCAAAATAGCAAAGCAGGACACATTACACTACTTCACCTCAAAATATATACAAATCTATCTTAACCAAAACAGCATGGTATTGGTATGCAAACAGATGCACAGACCAATGAAACAGAGCAGAGTACCCAGAAATAAATTCAGGTATTTAGAGGCAATTGATTTTTGACAAATTTGCCAAAAGTATGCATTGAGAAAAAGACATTCTTCAATAAATTATGTGGGCAAAACTAAACATCAATATGCAGAAGAATAAACTAACTTCTTATCTCTCACTGTATACATAAATCAACTCAAAATGAATTAAATACTTAAATTTATGACCTGAAACTATAAAAATACTTCCATAGGGGAAATGCTTCAGGACATCAGTCTAGGCAAATATTTCATGCATAAGTCTTTGAAAGTACAAACAACAGAAACACAAATAGACAAATGGGATTATATCAAACTTAAAGCATTCTGCACAGCAAAGGAAGCAGCCAACAGAATGAAGAGACAATCTGCAGAATAGGAGAAGATATTTGTAAATTATTATTCCTCTGACAATGGATTTCTGTTCAGAATATACTAGGAACTCAAACAACTCAACATCAAAAAAAATTGATTACAAAATGGGCAAAGAATATAAATAGACATTTCTCATAGAAAGACATACAAATGACCAATAAACAGATGAAGAAAAAATTCAACATCACTAATCATCAGGGAAATGCAAATCAAAATCAAAATGAGATTCTACCTCTCATCCCAGTTAGAATGATTATTAAGAACATGAAAACTAGCAAATGCTGGCAAGGATGTGGAGTAAAGGTGGTTGTTATACATTGTTAGTGGACATAGAAATTAATACATTCATTATAGAAACAGTATGGAGTTCTCTCAAACTAAAAATAGAACTGCCGAAAGACTCAGGTTCCCACTATTTTGTATTTATTCAAAAGAAAAGAAATCAGTATATCAAATATATGCCTGTACCCTCCATATTTATTGCGGCACTATTCACAATAGCTAAGATACAAAATATACCTAAATGCCCATCAACAGATAATTGTATAAAGAAAATGTGATTATATATAATGAAATATTATTGAGCTATAAAAAATGAAATCTTGTCATTCCCAGAAACATGGATAAGCATGTAGGACACTATGTTAAGTGAAATAAGTCAAGGTACAGCAAGATAAATACCACATATTTTCACTTATATGTTGGAGCTAAAAAAATAGCTGAGCTCAGAAATAGAGAGCAGAAAAAATATTACTAGAAGCTAGAAAGGTCTTAGGGAGAAGAAAATAGAGAGAGGTTAGTTAACGGATACAACATTATAGCTAGATAAGAATACTCTCTAGTACACTATAGCACTGTAGGGTGTATATAGTTAACAATAATTTTCAAAAAGCTGGAAAAAAGGATTTTGAATGTTCCCAACACAAAGAAATAATAAACATTTGAGATGTATGCATTGTGTACATGTATTGAATTATCCTTTTATATTCCATAAATATGTACAATTATTAAATGTAAACTAAAAATAAAAGGGAAGAAAAGAAATCTATAAACTTGGAACATCCATAGGGTAGATCTCATCTATATCCTTCATCCATAATCAAGTTTTTTATAGAGGAGAACTCCAGAGAACTTCCTTCATTTATCTCTACATTTTCGGATTATGCTTTTCTCCTTTCGTTAAAAATCACGTCTACGATACTTTATAAGTTGTCCTAAAATAAATTCTTTCTCTATGTTCAATCAAAAAAGAAAAGATTTGACTTAATAGTAGGTATAAGAGGTAGAGAAAGTTAATAGAAAACAAAGGAAGATTTTTATTAACCTACTCAACAAATCCATATATTTAAATTAGACATCCTATCTGTAAAGGGGCAGAATATTTAATGACCATCACTTAAATTCATTATCGGTGAAATATTACTTAACTAGCACATTTTCATCAAAAAATTCTCTGAGTGAGCATTGTGCTTCCGCCTTAGATATATGACATGATAATTTCCCTTTTTTTGTAAGACATTTTATACTACTTTTATATTATCCAACCACCTTCTACAGAAAAAAAGATACGTGACTAAAGTCTATACTTTGTCTGATAGCATTATTACCAACTTAAAATTGTCTAGTATTAAAATTTTAGAGAGATGAGCTTATTCCTGCAAGAATGGCTATAATGAAAAAAAATAAAAAATAATAGATGTTGGCATGGATGCAGTGAAAAGGGAACACTTCTAGACTGCTGGTGGGAATATAAACTAGTACAACCACTACGGAAAAGAGTGTGGAGACTCCTTAAAGAAGAGACTTTCAAATTTGCTTAATTAAAAATCCTCATTTTAATAGTGAGCAAAAAGAAATCAAGCAAGACTAAATTATTTTCCTTAGCTTCTCATTCACAGAGTTAATATGTACATAGATCTAATTCCCACTCCAATTTTTCCTTTCCTTGTTCACTGTCATTAATTTGTCCTAAATTTTGTAGTGGTTTACAGATGTCAAAGACTGTCTCTGATGTGGGTCCAAAGAGCAAACTAGTCACTGTCTTACGGTGCTTTTATTCTGGTGGAGATAGAGATTAATATAAATTAATAACTTCTTACAGTGATAATTTCTATGAGAAAAAATTAATATACTAATGTGAGAAAGCTGAATGAGAGACCTAAGCTGAGGGATGTACTTTATAATGGGAGTCAGGAGTTGAGGCCAAGTGACAAGAAACAGCCATGCTGTGAAAATCTGGGAAAAGAATGTTCGATGTAGATACAAGACGTTGTACAAAGTCCCCGGGGTAGAAAAAAGTCTCTCCTGATCAAGGGTTAGAAAGTGAATGTAAGCAAAGTACATCTAACAAACATGTGGTGTAGGCTAATGAGGAGTCTGAGCCCAGAGACCCCTGCACACTTCAATACAGAGCTTCGACTTTATTGAAAGAATCCCTTTGGATCCTGTCTGGAGAATGGACTGATGGGTGACAAAAATGAAAACAAGAAGAACAATTAAAAGGCTATTATTCCTTCCTTAATCAGACAATAAATTACTTTTTTAGAAATGTAAACTCGTAAAAATTAAGGAAAAAAGAATAAACAAACGTAAGAAAATTCTGTCAAAATTATTGATTTTCTTCTTAAATCATGTATTTACTAAGTACTATATTTTGAATATCTCTGAACAAGTTGTGACAAGTAAACAAAATGAAGGACTTATTATAATTTACAAATCCGGGGAAAAGCAAAATTGTTTAAATAGTGAAGAGGACATGTATCTCAGAACATATTTAAATCTATCTACAAAAAAGGATAATGAATTTGAATGTTATGTGTCAGAATTCATTTTTAAATTGTAAGCTGTATTTCAAGTATCATACATATAATTTGTGGTTATTACTTATTTTGTAAGCTTACCATTTATTTTTAGAATGCTAAACATGTAGTGTTTTGTTACATACAAAAGAATGTTACTCAATAGGACTTTGTGAAATTCAATGTGAGTTTCTATGCTAGCTAAACTCTACCTATTATTTTTTTCTATCATGGACTGCTGTCCTTAAAAGTTGTGTAATTTTTTTATCATGACTATTATGCCCTGCCTTAATGTAATTAGTAATATTGCTGTTAGTTTTCAATTTGGCAGTTTATAGGGTACATAATATAAGTTATAAAATTTCAAAACTTCAAATAATGACCAAAGCGGAGAAAGCTTTTATTTCAAAAAATGATGCTATTCTAGAACACTTGCTACTCAGGTATAATTTTGAATTACTGCTTAATTCTATTACAATAATAAATGTAATTTATCTATGATAATTCATGAAAGGAACTAGTTAAGCTTGCATTCTTTATTTCTACTAATAATACCTGATATACAGAAAATTTTCGGGTACTCTAAAAATCACTCATCATTTGTAGGAGTAGAAACCCAGAGTTCAAAATTTTAGGTACTTCATTGACTTGAAAGTTCAAAAGGATGTCCAAGTAATAGCCTCTTAAATTTTCCTGAGGCACATCAGAAATTTAGCCCTTAATTATTTTCTATTCAACTACTTTGCAAAAAGTTGTTTCAAAGTGAAAGTTGTTAATTTCTTCTAATACAGTTCTAACCAAATTATTATATGCTATATAAGAGAAATGTCACAAAATGCCCAGCTTAATGAAGATACTCATATTTCTAAAAGTGATCAATTTAATCAATTTTATCTTGTTTAAATCATATGAATGTATAGGCAGGAGAGAGATAGATAACTAGAGTTATCTAATTCTGGTTAGCTAATAATAATCATGTAACCAAATAGTCAAGAATTCTAAATGTATTAATTTTATCATTATGTAAATACATTTTCTGGTTGTCACAATCATTAAAAGAATAAATTTTTCTTCTTTGAATGCAAGATAAAGACTTGCATAAAAAAAATGTATTGCATTTTTTTCCCTGCCCCTCTTCTACTTATGATGTTTTATTTATATAAATGGGGTTTTGGGTAAATATTGTCAATGTCAAATTATTGCTTTCTAATATTTATTAGAGAGATTTTCAAAGTTTAACTTTGAAATATAACTTGCTTAAATAATTGTATCATTTTAAACAAAATTTGTTTTTTTCCACTTATTTGTTTTGGCTTGAAATTTATATCATCTGATGTCTATACTTTGAGTGACACAAATTAGCTGCAATTACTAAATGCTTATTATATGCCAAGGATTATACTAAATATCTCATATGCATAATCTCATTTGTTTCGTGGGACAACTCTATGGAATAAGTGTTATTAACTCCATGTTCCAGAAAAGAAAACTGATGTGTACTTAGATTAAATCTATGAATGATTAAATCTGAATTGAAATCTGGAATTACTTGGCACTGGAGTCCAGGCTCTGGGTTCTGCAATGTATGCCATGCTCTAGGTTGTGCTCTGTTTCTCCTGCTGTGCATTTGCTTTTTTATTTCTTTTTGTTCTTGCTCTGTTTCATCCCACCTTCCCACAAACCCATGATACAAACATCTTTGAAAAGGTGTGAAATTGCAATTTAAAGAGAAGCAGATATTACTGAACTCCTACCAGCAGAAAGAATGAGTTGTCCAACAATTTTGTTGGTATGAATTTTTTATGAGCCAGGTTGTAGAAGGAATGAAGGCCAACTTTCAATTACAGAGAATAGATCCTTAGTTTAATGAGATCAAGCATTTTTAGTGGCATTGGTCTTGCTTTTCTTTTTTTGAAGATTCAGCCTAATAGGAATTTATAATTTATAGCAATATCTATCAATCTCTGGAAACCCTTAGTGTTTCATGACTTAGCATTCCATATTTTTGGGAAGTTTAATAATTTTTTATGTCTCCAGAAATATTTTAATATGTCGTGACTGAATGTGTTCTGATATGCAGATATCAGTATAAACCAAAAGTTTTCATTTTTGTTTGCAAATATCTGTACAAGTGAAAGGCAGGCATTTGCCTTAAAATACAAATAATATGTAAGTTTTATTTTCATATATTTTTATACATTTGCTTTCTTTTTCTTGTGACAAGAATGAATTCAAATTAACTATGAGATTTTTAAAATTTTCAGCCTCATCACTCATAGCCTCTTAGTTTTGAAAGACAGTAACCATAAAATAGTGTACTAGAAGTAATTTACTCATTTCGTTCTATTATTTTTAAATTGAAAATAACATTACTAACATATTTAGTAACTTATTTAATCTGCACCTAGTGTTTCTTTCTCTGTCTTCTGCTCCATGGACAAATTCTAAAACATTAATATATTTCAGTCAATTAAAAAAACTTTTCTATTCATCCCCTTCCAAATATAGAATATTACTGCATTGGATTCCTCTTTATTGGTTGTTATGGGTTGAATTTTGTACCCCAAGAAAGATATACTGAAGTCCTAACCCACAGTACCTCAGAATGTAATCTTAGTTGGAAATAGGGGCTTTACAGAAGAAAAATGGCTTCAATTTCTAGTTATCCATCTGTTTCATATTTTATTTCTATTATACAATGTGTTATAGAGACAACATGATAGCTGCTATGAATCCAATCTCTTCAGACTGTAGTAGTCCAGAGCTCATTCTCTTTGTACATCTTTCTGAACTACTAAATTTTATGAAAACACATTACATGTGCTTAATGTACCTAAAGAAAAAAAATCAGTTCTTTTGTGGATTTTGAAGTTTAAAACATATTGTGATAATTGCCATATATAAATAGGTCTTCCCTGTCCTCTGCAAACAAAGAATCACCACCATATATTCAGCAACACCCAACATCAACCACTACCCTCTGAAAAATCTTTTTTAAGACAGTTATGCATATAACCATTAAAATCAGTGTTCTACTTATCTGCTCAAAATCACAATAAAAGTAAAACATAAAAGTTCCAGTTATTTCATTAAAAAACTCTAAAACAGAAAACTGAATTTTAGAAAAAGTATTTTTATGGAAAATAAAACATGGCACATATAATTACACAGGGAACAAATGCTCTGTTTTTGTGATTGGCTCAGAGGAATGAAGCTGCAAATTCAAAATTCTTTCTTCATTCTCACTTAGCATATAGACTACAAAAAAATAGTAAAATGCATGCCTTTACATTTACTGTGATTTTAAAGACATAGGAATTTGTTAGTTGTGTTTTCTGAATTCTCGTTCTCTAAATAAAAACAAATGTTACATTAAAAAAAAATTGTTCCTTCAAAACTTTGGAGTGGAAACTGACTATAATTCCAGGAAGCTGCTTTGTTTATCTATGAAATAAATAATTTGAAATTAAAAGTTCATGTTTAGTAGTGATGAAAATAAATTTTACAAACTACCCAGTTAAGTACTAATAAAGGATACTCAAATTTCTGCATTCTGTTTTACTTGAATATTTATTTGCATATGACTATTTTCCTATCTTTATGAAAAGCTGTTTAATATTTAGTGCATGTCATTCTTATTCATGTTATCATTTAAGTAGCAGCAATTTTGGAAATTAAATATTTTCCAATGTGAGATATTTGTTGAGGTTTTAGCCAAAGTTAGAGATTAATATAATTGTTTTGAGTAATACTATAGATTTATATATAATTAAAGCAGAAATATTATAGTATTACAATGTATAATTATTATTTTTGAATAGAGATAATCTAAGTTGTTACTATTTACTTCTATATTATGTTGATATTTTTAAATTAAATTTTCTTCTAATATACATTGTTTCATATTAGTGTAACAATTTCTCATCTCTGTATTGTTTAAAATATATACATATATTTAAAATATATATAATCACAGCAGAAAACAGTACTCATTTAAGCAACTCAATTTTTTAAAATTGTATTTTAAGTTAAGGGATATATGAGCTTTTTGTTATATAGGTAAACTCGTGTCATGGGGGTTTGTTATACAGATTATTCCATCACCCAGTTATTAAGCCCAGTACCTAATAATTATCATTTCTGCTCCTCTCCCTCCTCCCACTCTTCCCCACTGAAGTAGACCCTAGTGTCTCTAATTTCCTTCTTTGTGTTTGTAAGTTCTCAACATTTAGCTCCCAGTTACAAGTGAGGACATGTGGTATTTGGTTTTCTCTTCCTGTGTTAGTTTGCTAAGGATAATGACCTCCAGCATCATTTATGTCCCTGAAAATTTTAATGAAAGTTCAGATTTACAAAAATAGAAAAGAAGAACATACAGAACTACTGAATCTTAGGTTCCTGAATTAGTATCTAAAACACAGATTAGATAAACATAAAGTCAACAGAAAATTTTTCCCCACTTCACCATGAAAAAATTATCTTATACTTGCCACCGCTCCCCACAGCATCTTCCTGTCTCTTCTTTTTGTGCCAATAAGATGACCCCAGAAAATCATGTTAAGTTACTCCATCTTGTCCCCAGGAGGACACTTAGAATCTTGAAGCCAGAAGTCCTTCCACAATAGGTCTTAACATTCTAATATTATCTCTCTATAATTTAAAATAGCAAACATATGTGTTATAGCTGCTGCAAAGTAAGAAAAAATATTGAAATGTGTGTTACTGAACATTAATAATTTAAAAAATAGTTTAACATTTTCATTTTGTTAGATAGATTTGTGTTTGTCTCTTGTGATTTTGGATTTTCCCTCCAAAAAGCTTTGTTCTTCTGCATGTAGTTGTTTATGAATTTGACAAGGCTACTGGGAGTAAGAGCATAAATTTCAGGGTTATCTGTAAGTTACTTAAGACATCAGAGAACCCCACCACTTGTATATACTGAGGAAGTGTGAAATATTCAGGAATTTGCAGAGACATTAAGCATGCAATCACAAAATAAAGTCAATAATTTTGAAGTCGGATTAGTTGATAATGGTTCTTCAACAAAGAAACTGTTTCATTCATTATTTCATGTCACATTTAGGATCAATATGGAACAACTATTAAATGAACCAAATTAAATATGTCAAAAGTGTACTAGAAAATGTTGAAACAATTATGATACTACCCCTAAAAACCATGCATGTGTCATGACACACTTGGCTTATAACTTCCAAGGATGACTCCCAATGAAGAGTGCATAAAGTTTAATGAGAAACTACACTAGAAAGCACAAAATCATGAAAGAAAAAATTTCATCTCAAGCACCATTCACACCACAGAACAAAAACCTTCAGTTAAAGGAAGAATGACTATACGTGGAAAAGAAGGGAATAAAGAATATTACAAAGGTGAAGAAAACAGAAAAAAATTGTAGACTAAAACTGTTAAGTATCTTCATACCATTTTCTTATTCAGGAAAAACTTGAATAAGTTAGCTAGAAATGCTAATGTATTATTAAGAAAAGGAGACTGATATCAACAGTTGAAGTTGCCAGTGGGTAAATGTAAGGCCTAACAGAAAATTCCAGGGCTGGGTGACATAGATAGTGTGAAACACATAATTATAGGTCAGTGGTTCCAGAAAGTTCCTGAACTCTTCTTCAGTTATCTCCAAATCCTCTATGTTTCTGCCTCATTCTACACTTCATTTCCTTCACTTTTTTTATTCTTTCCTCTTTCCTTACTCCTTTAAGCCTAAATTACCCTAGTTCATCATTTCAAACATTATCTTGCTAGCATTCTCAACTTTTTTTTTAACATTGCACATTCCTGGCCAAACCTTTCCATGTGTTATTTTTTGCTATTGCATGCAAGTTGTTAAGAGTTGCTGGAGAAGACCAGTTCAATGTAATAATAAAAGCAGATAAATTCCACTATTGATCAATTCATGGTCTTTAATGACTTTCAGATTTGCATTACTAAAAACAGTAAATTCTCTCTTCCCGCTTTTCCACATAGTTATTTGAGCTTCTATTTATTTTTCAAATTTACTTTTTTTTCTCCCTTCAGTGTTACAGATGATCTCTACTGCTACTTTATGAAGAAGCTAAAAACTATCAAATAAAACCTCCCATGATTAGTTGCCACCTCGGCTATAGCTGTCTTCATTTGCACTAGGTTCACATCTTTCCTTCTTCCTTTTGTTTTCAGGGAGCAAAGCATTTTTCTTCCTTGTCTGTAAGGCTAGTTATTTTATTTCTCTAAATTCCACGCTAATCTTTATTCTCAGAGACTAATCTTTATTCATATGTATAAATTATCACTTCACTTTTGTAATATCAACTTTTCTCACTTTAATAAATCCTTTCAATCGACATCTACTTTTCTGTAAACCTGTCTGTGTTCCAAAGTCATCATCACTTATATCTCCATTTTCGAGTTCTCATTTGGCTTTTTATGGCCTCCAGAATCAGATTACTTCTGATATGAGCTTATTACTGACATCTCTATTTTGATAACTTACTGTGACACTAACATCAGCAAATATATAGGAACCATATTTAAGTATCCCTTTTCCCCAACTCTGACTTCCAAAATTGACTTCCAAACTCCCAGACATTTTCTTCTTTTCTTTGACTCTCACTTCCTTTCCAAATGTCTTAGGTCAGTCTCCTAATGTGATCTGCCTGAAGCCAGTCTTGTCTACTTTAATCTGGTCTCCAATGTTAGCTAGATATGTTTCTTTCTTTAAAAAAGTCATTTTATTTTTCAGATAAAAACTTTTCAGTGAGTTCTAGTTACAGTCAGTAAAAAATCCGAAATCTATCTTGCCCAGCTCATTTCACCCTTCTGCTGGACTTTTTGCAAGTCTCTCTTAAATATCCTTGCCTTGTAAAACATATGAATCATTCTCTCACTTCCCAACCTTTTCAAAGACTATTTATTTAATGCATCTTTCAATCTTATCCAAACCGTGTTTGTAGTTTCGTGATCTAGTTATCGCTTCCTCTCTTTAGCATTCTCTGACGACTTCAAGAATCATTACATGCCCCCAAGAACTCTCATGGTAACCTGTACTTTTGTGTCACTGAGTTCCTTAAATACTTGGTTCTTTATATACTTCCATGTTCATTCTCTAACAGCTGATGCTTTCTCTGAAACCATTACAGTTCTATGAGCATGATGAGGAAATTAAGTGCCATTTCTGCTATCTAATTTCTGTTCCCACTGTTTTTAAATATATTTTCTCAATCATTCTGACTGCTACACCTGCTGCTCATCTAGTAAATACTCTTATACATAAAGGCAATTTTAAACTGATTAAGGTCTTTCTCTCCAATGAATAAGTTAGGCCATTTTAAAAGAATAACAGTAATAAATATAAACAGAATGCATCCTCCTCAGTGAATCCTTTAAGTGATATGCTGCTGTGCTATTGCTTCATTCGGCATGAAGGTGACAGTAGCTTAGACCTACTGAGGAAAAATGGCTTTCTTCTCTTTACTTAAAAAGCAGTCTCTGACAAGTAAATAAGGCACATTATTTTTCATTAAAATATATCTAATGATGACTCTGCGGTGGTCATCTCAGCACATAAATGGGCTTACCATTTTATTTTTTAAAACCATAAAGCACCTTTATACCATTGTTTGCTTACTTCACCCATATTCTCTCTCTCTCCCTTTTTTTTTTTTCTTTTTTGAGACAGAGTATTGCTCTCTTGCCCAGGCTGGAGTGCAGTGGCACAATCTCATCTCACTGCAACCTCTGTCTCCAGGGTTCAAGCAATTCTCCTGCCTCAGCCTCCTGAGTAGCTAGGACTGCAGGCACCTGCCACCACACCTGGCTAATTTTTTTTTTTTTTTTTTTTTTTTTTTTTTTTTTTTGAGATGGAGTCTCGTTCTGTCGCCAGGCTGGAGTGCAATGGCTCAATTTTGGCTCATTGTAACCTCCTCCTCCCAGGTTCAAGTGATTCTCCTGCCTCAGCCTCCTGGATTACAGGGGTCCACCAGCACCCCAGCTAATTTTTTTATTTTTAGTAGAGACAGGATTTTGCCATGTTGGTCAGGCTTGTCTAGACCCCCTGACCTCAGGTGATCCGCCCACCTCAGCCTCCCAACGTGCTGGCATTACAGGTATGAGCCAGCGCCCCTGGCCCCAATTTTTGAATTTTTTTTTCAGTAGAGATGAGGTTTCACCATGTTGGCCAGGGTGGTCTCAAACTCCTGACTCCAGATGATCTGTCCACCTCGGCCTTCCAAAGTGCTGGGATTATAGGTGTGAGCCACTGTGCCTGGGCCCATATTCTATTTTATCTCTGATAGCGAAAGTGTTTCATGCTTATCAAATATCCATATTAATCCAGCCTGTATCCTAGTGTGTTCTATTTTAAGTTGATAAAATATATCTCCCCAAAATGGTATTTTCTGATATGTAGTGATAAATACCAAGTTTAAAAATTGTTTAGCCACCACAGTGAAGTGGAAAAGTCTCATTCATCACTTATATTACCCCCTTCCCTTATTTCAAAATGATTTTTAAAAATTCACGGGCAAAATGGAATGAATGCATTTCAGCCATTCTAATTTGGGCAAAATGTGATTAAGGCATATTGCTTTCAAATTTGTACTGATCAGAGAGTGGTTAATTGCAGTATCCAATTTCATTATAAATTGCAACTGTTGAAACCACAGAAGCAATTTATTTATTTTTATTATCATTATAAAAATAATTTCACCTTTCATTTTAGATTTAGGGAGTACATGAGCAAGTTTGTTATATAAGTTTGTTACGTGATGCTAAGGTTTAGGGAATGAAAGTTCCTATCATGCAGGTAATGAGCATGGTACCCAATAGATAATTCTTTCAGCCACTCAGTTCCTCCCTCTCTGCATCCTCTAGAAGTCTCCAGTGTCTAGTGTTCTCACTTTTATTTTCATATGTACACAATGTTTAGTTCCACTTATAAGTGAGAACATGCAGTACTCAGTTTTCTGTTCTTGAATTAATTTGTTTAGGATGATGACCTCCAGCTGCATCCATGTTGCAGCAAAGGACATGATTTTGTTCTCTTTCATGGCTGCATAGTATTTCATGGTATATGTGCACCACATTTTTCTTTGCTATTGTGAATAGTACTGTGATGAACATATGAGTGCATGTGTCTTTTTGGTAGAATGATATACTTTCCCTTGGTTATATACCCAGTAATGGGATAGCTGAGTCAAATAGTAGTTCTGTTTTAAGTTCTTTCAGAAATCTTCAAACTGCTTTCCACCGTAGCTACACTAATTTACATTCCCACCAACAGGGAATAAGCGTTCTTTGCCCCAGACAGCCTTGCCAACGTCTGTTATTTTTTGACATTTTAATCATAGCCATTCTGACTTGTGTGAGATTGTATCTCACTGTGGTTTTGATGTGCACTTCTCTGTTGATCAGTGATGTTGAGCATATTTTTAGATGTTTGATGGCCACATGTACGTCTTCTTTTGAAAAGCGTCTGTTCATATTCTTTGCTGACTTTTTAATGGGGTTGTTTTGTTCTTGAGTTTCTTATGGATTCTGGATATTAAAGTTTGTTAGATGCATAGTTTGTGAATATTTTCTCTCTTTTAGTAGGTTGTGTGTTTACTCTGTTGATATTTTCTCTTGTTGTGCAGAAATTATTTAGCTTAATTTGGTCCCACTTGCCAATTTTAATTTTGTTGCAACTACTTTTGAGGACTTAGGCATAAATTCTTTGCTGTGGCTGATATTGAGAAGACAATTTCCTATTCTAGGATTTTTTTTTCTAGGATTATTTTTATTTTAGGATTATTCTAGGATTTTTTTTTTTTTTGAGACAGTGTCTCACTCTGTCACCCAGCTGAGTGCAGTGGTACAATTTCAACTCACTGCAGCCTCCACCTCGTGAGTTCAAGGAATTCTTCTGCCTCAGCATCCCAAGTAGCTGGGATCACAGGCGTGCACTACCATGCCCCACTAGTTTTTTATATTTTTAGTTGAGATGGGGTTTCACCATGTTGGCCAGGCTGGTTTTGAATTCCTGACCTCAAATGATCTGCCCCCCTCCATCTCTCAAAGTGCTAAGATTACACACGTAAGCCACCACAGCCAGCCTCTAGGATTCTTATAGTTTATGTCTTACACTTAAATATTTAATCTATCTTGAGTTAAGTTTTATACATGGTGAAAGGTAGGAGTTCAATTCGATTCTTCTGCACATGACTAGTCAGTTGTCCCAGCATCACTTACTAATAGGGATTACT
The DNA here is from genome assembly GCF_000001405.40 of Homo sapiens. NCBI lineage: Eukaryota > Metazoa > Chordata > Mammalia > Primates > Hominidae > Homo > Homo sapiens. Next base: position 23,544,439 of record NC_000005.10, read on the forward strand.
TTATCTATTGTTTATTGTTATCAACTTTGTCAAAGACCAAATGATGGTAGATGTGCAGCTTTCTTTTTTTTCGTTTTCGTTTTCCATTCTATTCCATTGGTCTATGTGTCTATTTTTGGAACAGTAGCATGCTGTTTTGTTTACTATAGCTTTATGGTATAGTTTGAAGTCACTTAATGTGTTGCCTCTGGCTTTGTTCCTTTTGCTTAGGATTGCTTTGGCTATTCAAACTCCTTTTTGATTCCATATGAGTTTTGGAATAGTTTTTCTAATTCTGCGAAAAATGATGTTGGTAGTTTGAAAAAGATAGCATTGAATCTGTAGATTGCCTTAGGCAATATGACCATTTTAATGATACTGATTCTTTCAATCCGTGAGGCTGAAATATTTTTTGATTTGTTTGTGTCATCTATTATTTCTTTCAAGGGTGTTTTGCTATTCTGCTTATATACATATATGTGTGTGTGTGTGTTATGTTTACACACATATATATATATACATAAGATGTATATATATCTTTTACTTCTGTGGTTACAGGTATTCCCAGGTATTTTATTCTTTTGTCACTACTGTAAATGGGATTATGTTCTTGATTTGGCTGTCAGTTTAAATGTTATTGGTGTATAGAAATTCTACTAATTTTTATAAATTGATTTTGTTGGGTTTTCTAGGTGTAGGATTATATTGTCAGTGCAGAGAGTTAATTTGACTTCTTCTTTTTCTATTTGGATAGCTTTTATCTATTTCTCTTGCCTGATTTCTCTTGCTAAGACTTCTAGTACTATGTTGCATAGAAGCTGTGAGAGTTAGTATCTTTATCTTGTTCCTGTTCTTAAGGGGAACGCTTCCAGCTTTTGCCCATTCAGTATGATATTAGCTATGAGTTTGTCATAGATGCCTCTTTTTAGTTTGAGGTATGTTCCTTTGCTGCCTAGTTTCTTGAGGGTTTTTGACATAAAGGGATGATGAATTTTATTGAAAGCTTTTTCTGCATCTATTGAGATAACCATATGTTTTTTGTTTCTAATTCTATTTTTGTGGTGAATCACATTTATTAATTTGTGTATGTGGAACCAACCTTGCATCACAAGAATCACTTAATCATAGTAAATTAATTTTTGATGTGCTACTGGATTCAGTTTGTTAGTATTTTGTTGAAGATTTTTGTGTCTGTGTTCATCAGGGATATTGGCCTGTGGATTCTTTTTTTTTTTTTTTTTTTGTCATATCTTTGACAGACTTTGCTACTGGGGTGATGCTGGGTTTGTTGAATGAGTAAAGGAGAAATTCTTCCTACTCAATTTTTTAAAGAGTTTCAATAATATTGGTACCAGCTATTCTTTGTATGTCTAGTAGTACTTGGTTGTGAATGCATCTGGTCCAGTGCTCTTGATGATTGGTAGGTTTTTTATTACTAACTCAATTTTGCAACTCAATAACGGTCTGCTCAGGGTTTTGATCTCTACTTTACTCGGTATTGGGAGGTGGTGTGTCTCTAGGAATTTATCCATTTCTTCTAGATTTTCAAGTTTGTATACATAGAGGAGTTCATAACAGTATGCTATTAATTTTTATATTTCTGGGGTATTATCATGTCAACTTTGTCATTTCTGATTATGCTTATTTGGATCTTCTCCCATTTTTTTCTTTGTTAATCTAGTTAGTGGTATATTGATCTTATTTAGTCTTTTGCAAAACCAACTTTTGGTTTTATTAATTCTTTATATAGATTTTTGGATCTCAATTTCATTAAGTTCTGCTCTAATTTGAGTTGGTTTTTTTCTTCTTCTAGCTTTGAGTTTAATTTGTTCTTATTTTTCTAGTTTCTATAGGTGTGATGTTAAGTTGTTAATTTGAGATGTTTCTATCTTTTTTTATTTGTATATATTTTTTGAGACGAAGTTTCGCTCAGCTGGAGTTGCCCAGGCTGTAGTGCAATGGCACGATCTCGGCTCACCACAACCTCCACCTCCTGGGTTCAAGCAATTCTCCTGCCTCAGCTTCCTGTGTAGCTGGGATTATAGGCATGCACCACCATGCCCAGCTAATTTTGTATTTTTAGTAGAGATGGAGTTTCTCCATGTTGGTCAGGCTGAGCTTGAACTCCAGACCTCAGGTGATCCACGTGCCTCATCCTCCCAAAGTGCTGGGATTACAGGCATGAGCCACCGTGCCCAGCCAATGTTTCTCTCTTCTTGATGTAGGCATTTAGTGCTATAAACTTTCCTCTTAACACTGATTTTGCTGCATTTCACACTTTTGGGTATTTTTTTTTCTCTGTTTTCACTTATTTCAAAGAACTGTTTGATTTCTGCCTTAATTTTATTGTTTATCTAAAAGTCATTCAGGAACAAGTTAATTTCCACATAATTGTATGGTTTTGAGATATATTGTTGGTGTTGATTTCTACTTTTATTCGTCTGTGGTCTGAGACTATGCTTGGTATGATTTCAATTTTCTTGAATTTATTGAGATTTGCTTTATGACTAAGGATGTCATCAATTTTGACTGTATTTCATGTATACATGACAGGAGTATATATTCTGTGGTTGTGGGAGGAGTCTTCTATAGATATATATTTGGTCTAATTGGTAGAGTGTCTCATTTAAAGTCCAGAGTTTCTTTGTTAATTTGGTGCCTTAATGATCTAGCTAATGCTGTCAGTGGAGTGTTGAGGTCCCCTACTATTACTGTGTGGTTGTTTAAGTATTTTCGTAGCTCTAGAAGTACTGGCTTGATAAATCTGATTGTTCTCATGTTAGCTGCATATGTTTTTAGGATAGTTAAATCTTCTTGTTGAGTTAAGCCCTTTATCATTATGTAATGCCCTTCTTTGTCCTATTTTACAATCGTAGGTTTAAATTCTGTTTTATCTGATATAATAATAGGCACTCCTGCTCTCTTTTGTGTTCTGTTTTTGTGTTAGATCTTTCTGTAACCTTTACTTTGAGTCTGTGGGTACCATTACACTTCGGATGTATCTCTTGAAGACAGCAGATTAATGGATCTTGTTTTTTTTTAATCCAACTTACCACTCTGTGCCTTTTAAGTGAATGCTTTTAGACACTTTATGTTCAAGGTTAATACTGATATGTGAGGTTTTGATCCTATGATGAAGCCATCAGCTGGTTGTTTTGTAGTTTCTGTTGTATAGTTGCTTGAGAGGGTCAATGGATTATTCACTTCAGTGTGTTTTTATAGTGGCAGGTATTGATTTTCTCTCTCTCTCTCTCTCTCTCTTTTTCTTCATGTTTAGAACTCTCTTAAAGATCTCTTGTAAGGTTGGGGTAGTGGTAACAAATACTCTTAGCAATTTTTTGTCTATAAAATATTTGCATTTCTCCTTCACTTTAGAAGCCTTTTTTTGACGAGATATGAACTTCTTCTTTGGAATTTCTTTTCTTTTAGAATGCCAAAAAAGGCCCCCCTTTTATTCTGGCTTCTGTGGCTTTTGGTGAGAAATCCACTGTTGTTGCCCTGATGGGGTTCCACTTGAATGTAATCTGATCTTTTTCTCTAGCTGTCTTAAATTTTTTTTTAATTGACCTTGTGCAGTGCAAATAGTGTATGCTTTGGTGGTATTTATTTTGTACAGTTTCTCACAGGTGTTCTCTGGATATCTTTAATCTTGATGTTTACCTCTCTAGCAAAATTAGAAAATTTTTTTGAATTATTCTATCAAATATGTTTTTCAGATTGTTTATGTTGTCTTCTTCTCTCTCATGAATGCTAATAATTTGTGGGTTTGGTTGCTTTACATAATCCCACATTTCTCAAAGACTTTGTTCATGTATTTTAAATTATTACTTTTTAATTTTTTTGTCTCAGTGGGTTAGTTCAAAAAAACCAGTCTTCAATATTTAACAGATGGATTTTAAAAGAGCAAATATTCTCTCTGAAAGTTCATATGGCATCTTTTTTTGTTGTAAGGTAAGGAACAAAATGATATTAGATTTATACCTCAAAACTACAGGTCTCCTTCTATAATACATACACTCTTAAAACAGTTACCATTATTATCACTAAAGCAATTATCATTACTAAAAAGTTACAACAAACATGAAGTTATACTGGAATAAAATGTGTTCCTTCTCAGAGGTAACAAGAGAATCACTAGTCATTGACAACATAGTGAAGTTTATATGATAAAGCAAATTGGCTTTTAGAAAGTGTGAAAATTGATTATATGTGTTGAACTAAGAACAACTGAAGAAGCAATAGCAAATTCCACTGGTACAAGTCACTGTGGGGTGAAACTCAGGAAAGGCAAACATAACTTGCTTCATGGAGAAGGAAAAGGTATTCAGAATATGGCTATTGCCTAATGGAACACACACACACACACACACACACACACACACACACACACACACACAGTGTCCTGTTGAGAACATGGTCTTCAATTTATTATAAAAGGTTTTTATTAAAATTTTTTAAAATTAAAAATAATGTTTTTAATGTGAATATTTGTATACATTTTCCCAAACTGTTAAAAAAGAAAACTATAGATAATGGCTAAATTTATAAACCAGGGAGGTAGACACATACTATTAACCAAGAATGTTTCAAATAAGAATTTACATTATAAATATATATATTATATGTAATCTTTTTGATATTTCCCTCTAGCTAAGCTTTCTTTTCTTACCATCAAAACTAGCATTAGCAATGAGATTTTCAGTCCATGTCTATAATTTTATACATCTCCATACTACTTCTCAATAAAACTGTAGTAACTTCTACCCAGAGCACTGCACTAAACCTGATTTTAATGAATTCATCAATGATTCTTTGTTGCTCATGCAGTGGACTTCTCATTCAGTGTAAAAGCTCAAAACATTTGAAATTATTGACTTTTTATTGTCTTCACTCTTATTGCATGTGGAATTATTCCTATGACACTTGCCTTTTGGCTTTTAGGATTATTTTATATATATATGAATCACTTATTTCCTTATTTGATTATAAGCAAATTTATTGACTATGCAGTACTGTTCTACTTTTTATGTGCAAACTTTCACATATTGGTGACAAAATATTTATGAATGAGCAAATTAATGTTCAGCTGTCATAAAATGTGTATTTATCTCTCTTTAGATATATAAATATAGATATGCCTAAAGATGTGTATACCAGAAATCCCCAGTTAAAGAAGAGTGCTTTGTTTCACATTATTCTTTCTCTAAAAGATTTAATCTAATTGATATACTTTATCTAAAGTAGAATGAGTTGAGGATGTCTCTACTTTTTATTTGAATATGTATTTAAGTGCCTATTTTCACCAGGCCATGTTCTAGAGACTAACATGCAGCCGCTCATAACCTACTCCCCTGGCCCTAATTCTGTTGGGGCTCAGAAAACAATACCCCAAAATAAAGGCTTCAGAAACAGCCCCAGAAGCAAAAGTTTCTCTCTGACATTCTCATGCCCTCCTGTCTCTCACCCTTATTCTCCCCAGACCCAAGCTGTAGAATCTGGAAGCCCTCTTCCTCATGGTTGATCATAGAAACCGATCATAGAAACCGGAACCCTTTTTACCCACATTCGGCTGTAAAACCTAATAATGTTACTATTTCCCCTGCTGTTCTATGTAAAAATTGGCCATAAAGAAATTATCTGACCTACTTTGTTTGATTGCAGGTCATAAGACCCTCATTTCAGAAAGGGTCCTGCTCCATACCCAGAAGGAAGGAAGCCTGCACTGAAGAATCTGGACAGACAGGCCTTTTGGGGCTTCCTCATTCAGTCTAATAGATTATGAAAACGTAACTCTTGTGTCCAATCACAGTTCTACATGGCCATCCATTCTCCATCAAAACTAAGTATTAAAATGGACGATTTCTCTTGTATCTTTGGGTCTTCATTCTGAACACATCAATGTCATGTAAGACTATGACCAAATAAATTGATATGCCTTGTCTGTTGATTTTTTTTTTCAGTTCACTTTTTAGTAAACCTTCAGAGGATGAAGAGGAAATTTTTCCTTTACCCCTGTAGTTCTATTATAGAGATAAATCATTTTCACTAAAATAAATTTTGAATTTTTTTCATTGATGACATAAGCTAACATTTTAAAAGGATTAAAAGGTCAAGAATGACTAGAACTGCTATTTAAATTACCTTGTCAAGGAAGTCATGTTGGAGAGAAACTCTTTGTGTTAAAGTTTGCTTATATTTCACTTTAACCTAAGGTACGCTGTAATAACAATAACCCAAAACCGCAATGGCTTACAACAATATTTAATTTATCCGTCACATGAAATGTGGAGTGGACTTGTAGTGGAAACACAATCAAAGTCTAAGTAAACGTGTTTTAAAAAAGATATTTTCCAGTTGATTCTGTAATTCTATGGAGATGCAGAGGATTTACAACTGTTAAAACAAATGTGAAAAAGAACAATAGTAAATGGCTCACGTTAATTCAAAAAAATTAATTTCAAAAAAAGTCGTGAGGCTATAATAAGATGTAGTATTGCAATACATATAGACAAAAAGATCAGTGAAGCAGAAGAAAAATACAGAAAACCAAACACACAAGTTTGGATGCAGAAAGAAATAAATTAGTCTTAAAAAATAGGGTGCTAAGACAATTCTACGGCAAATTAAAGTTTCTTAAATGAGATGGGAAAATATATAAAAATAAAAATTAATCACAACCCTTGCCTCTTAGTAAAAAAAGTACGATATTAATACCAGACAGATTTTTGATTTAAAAATAAAAGGCAAAATAGAAATCTTTAAAAGAAATCATAAAAAATATGCTTATGCCAAATAGTATTAAGATCTGTTTATTTCACTGTATGTAATTTTTAGCTCTATAGATATTGATTAGAAAAATTTGCAGAATCATCAACAATGATTTAATATAAAAATATTATATCATTGTTGACTCAAACACAGTACTTAGGAAGAATAAAAAGAAAAATAAGACACCATATACACATAGCAACTAAACCCTATATAAGTACATAGCATAGTGGTGACACAGTAACACCAAAACACTATGATGAGAGCTTAAATAAAGGCACAGCACAAACACTATTGAACTATAGAAAAAAGAGTCCTGAACTTTTGAAGGATGGAGAGAGGAAAATAAATGCCTTATAGCATAAGTGTTCCTCAAGCCTACAAATCTTTTAACACTAACAATATATTTGATTATGATTTTTTATTTTGTTACCATTTAAAAAGGCGTTTACTGGATATAAAAAGATAGCAAGATATTTGATTCAGTTTATCATATTTTCCTTTATAAAAAGTAACATTTAATGCAGAAACTTTTGAATTAAAATGCATTGCAGACTCATAATGTCATTTTAACATGTATTACTATACTTTGAATCCACTCATGGCTGAATCTGAAATATATATTTGAACAGCTGTTAGTTGAAATAAAAGTACTCATTTCTTACTAGACCAATTTTATGTAATGCTGAAAACTCTTTTAGCATTTTTGTTTAACTAGGGTAATGGCAAAATGCCTAAAAACATATAAGTTGTGTGGCTGTACCTTGTATATATGTTTTTCTTCAAGTTCAACATTTTTAGTGAGAATCGTTTCTACAAAGTCTCAAAGTAAAATTAGAAATGTTTAAAAATTACAAAAAAAACAAAAAATAGAAAAAGTTGTGGGCCTGAAATGGTCACTTTGCCATTTGACTGACAAAGCACACAGAAGAACTCACGTACCACTTGACATTTTGCTTTTTATAATTGATCATCATTTACATATATTCTTTTTCATAATTGTGTTTTAGTTCCTTAAGCGAAGGTTCAGTCAATGTTCTTTAACTCTTCTTATTTTCACCAAATATTATTTCAATCATGATGGTATTAAAAAACCCAGGTAAAATAACATATCATAACTTAGAATAAATTTTAAATTAATTATTCAACTATCATATATAGTCACCCACCATATGGGGCACATAATTGTCTACTTTAAAACATGTCACTTCTTGAATTTTTTCTGTTCAGAATGTTCAAACATGACAATGTATTATATCTATTGTAGCTGATGATGTTAATTTCTCTTTAAAAATTGTAATTAGTTTAGATGATAATTCCCCTATAGGAACATTAACTAATTGATAATCCCTCAAAAAATTTGTTTCAATGGTTTTATTTAGTTTTATTGATAAAAAAGTAGTAGACACTTATTTATTTTTAATTAAAAAATTATTTAAAAAAACATTTTAAAACATTTTCCCTTCCAAATTTATTTCAGGTTCAGAGGGTACATGTGCGCATTTGTTACATGGGTAAATTGCGTGTTCTTGTGGTTTGGTGTACAAATTATTTTGTCCATGTAGTGAGCATAGTACCCAGTAGGTAGTTCTTTAGTCTTTACCCTCCTCCTACCCTCCACCTTTAAGTAGGCCGCAGTGCAGTTTTGTTCCCCTCTTTGCGTCCATGTGCACTAAATGTTTAGCTCCTAATTAGATGTAAGTACATGCAGTATTTGAGTTTCTGTTCCTAGGTTAACTCAATAAGGTAATGGCCTTCCGCTCCATCCAAGGTGCTGCAAAAGACATAATTTCATTCTTTTTTTTCAGGCTGTAGTACTCCATGATGTGTATGTTCCACATTTTCTTTATTCCAGTCCACTGCTGATGGCACTAGATTGATTCCATGTCTTTGCTATTGTGAATGGTGCTGCTGCAATGAACGTATGTATGCGTGTGTCTTTACGGTAAAATGATGTATAGTCCTTTGGGTATATAGTCAATCATGGGACTTCTGGGTTAAGTGATAGCTCTTTTTTAAGTTATTTGAGAAATCTCCAAACTGCTTTCTACAGTGGCTAAACTAATTTACAGTCTCTCCAGCAGTGTATAAGTGTTCTCTTTTTTCTGTAAATCTTGCCAACGTCTGTTATTTTTTTGACATTTCTATAATAGCCATTCTGACTGGTGTAAGATGGTATGTCATTGTGGTTTTGATTTGCATTTTTCCAATGATTGGTGATGTTGAGTATTTTTTTCATATGCTTTTTGGCTGCATGTATGTCTTCTTCTGAGAAGTGTCTGCTTATGTCCTTTGCCCATTTTTTTAATGAAATTGTATTATGCTTGTTGATTTAAGTTCCTTAGAGATTCTAGATATTAGGCCTTTATGAGATGCATAGTTTGCAGATGTTTTTCTTATTCTGTAGGTTGTCTGTTTGTTCTGCTGATACTTTTTTTTTTTTTTCTGTGCAGAGCTCTTATTTAATTAGGTCCCACATGTAAATTTTTGTTTTTGTTGCTATTTGTTTTGGAGTCTTTGTCATGAAATCTTTGCCAGGGTCTACATCCAGAATAGTATTTTCTCGGTTTTCTTCTAGGATTTTTATAGTTTTAGGTTTTATATCTAAGTCCAGACATTTTAAGGAATAATAGGCCAGGCGCGGTGGCTCATATCTGTAATCCCAGCATTTTGAGAGGCCAAGGCAGGTGGATCACAAGGTCAGGAGATCGAGAACATCCTGGCCAACATGGTGAAACCCCATCACTGCTAAAATACAAAAAATTAGCTGGGTGTGGTGGAGGATGCCTGTAGTCCCAGATACTTGGGAGGCGGAGGGTGAATCGGTTGGACCCAGGAGGCGGAGTTGCAGTGAGCTGAGATCGCGCCACTGCACTCCAGCCTGGAGACAGATTAAGACTCCATCTCAAAAAAAAAAAAAAAAAAAAGAGAATAATAGTAAAGTATGAGCCAATTGGAGAACATTTATTTCTACATTTATTTAGTTGTAATGAATTTTGAATGGCTCAAAGATGTGCAGATCACCTATAGTTTGTGTTAACATTTTCTGCTGCAAAACAAACAAACAAACAAAAATCCATAATAGTAATTATGTAAAATGTAATATCATGTTATTTTACTCCAGAAGCAAATGGGAGAAGGTATATCTACATCTGTATTTACACACAAAAAACATAGGTGGTTGACATAATTATATATAATGTATAAATATATGCATATTTTCATGTGTAGTTTACATAAGCGTGTGAATGTGACTAAAAATATACAGTAAAATCAGCTATAAAATATATAAATTCATTATGAGATAAAATAAACAATGAATGAAATTGCAGCTAATAAAATCAAAATATTATTATACCTAAAGAGATAAATATGATAACATGTAAAAGAATTTATAGCTTCCAAAATTAAAAAGCTAAAATAATTCATGCCTAGCTGGTATGCACCTTATAAAATATTAAAGGAAGTTCTTCAGGTAGAAGCAGTATTACAAATATTGATTAAAATAATGAAATTAAATTTCAGCATTAATGTTAAACAGAATTTTTTTCTTTTCTTAAATGATACTTGAGTTTCTTTGTGTCTCTATTAGAGGCAGACTGCTCATTTACAATATGTGACACATCTCTGAAGGAAGATGGAGTTGAGATTAATACACTTGCTCTCTGTGGATTGCAGACTATTACTCCCAAAATGCCCGTAAAATACCAAAATACCTGGTCTTCAGAGAGTCATAATATTTCATACAACATCTTCTCTCCCTGTTATCTTATGACCTCAGAGTCACATTCTTTACCCTTTGAATACTCTACCACATGTTTTACTGTTGTTTTCTGTTTTATGTCCCATGTGTACTCTGCATTGATTAAAAGTTTATAAAAGTAACCTCTTGAAAATGATAACTACCTAAGTATCTTTAACAAGGTCATTTCCAATATACTTAACCACTTTTCTTCAGTCTCTTCAGTTCTAAAGGAGACTCAAGGCTGTTACAGAATCGCCTTGCTTCATCTATCTTTAAAACATCATTTACCTTTGGTTTTCTTTTGTCTCTCAAATTTCTTTTTTTCCTTCTAAACATTTTCTTAATTTTATGGAAAGCTTATATATCTTGGCACTTGTATCTTCTGTCTTTCTCTTAACATTGTCTTTCTGGCACTTCCAGCAAAAGAAAGTTAGGCCACAATGTTAACCCTTCTCTTGCCATGCTTCTTTCTCTTTTTTAACAATTACTTGGATACATTAGGGAACTTCTCAGTGTGCCTGACAAGATGTATTTTAATTTATCATCATTTGATGTTGAACCTATAATATTCTGGTTGCCACTTTTACAGTTTGAACTGCTCTTGCAGAGTTGTAATATTTATGTTGCTAATTTTTATGTTTTATCATATTTCACCATTCTATACTCTATGACACATTGTCCTATATGCTGTTTTAAATGATTTTTTTTTCCTTTAGTGTCTTTGACCCTTTCTTTACAAGGTTTGACCTCTATTTCTTTTGGTGTTCATTTCAGACTCCTGTCCAAGATATAACTGTGTGATGTCTGTTTCTTTGTATGCACACACACAGATACACACACACACACACACACACACACACACCATCTTTATCAAACCATTATAGAACATATGTTTGCATTGAACACATCACTTAAAGAGAAATTCGAACCATAAAGTTTTGATACAAGAAGCATTTTAATGAAAAGTTTAAGATGAAAGTCTTTGGCTTAAGATATTTATCCTCACTTTGATATTTCCTACGTACAATCATCCAACTAATAATATCACTAAGCATCTATTTCCCATCTGAGGAATTAGAAAATAAAATACTGTATACAATGATAGAAAGAAAACACAAGAGTGTGTAATATACCTTATGCTTATAAGACATATAGGAAATATCACTGCCTTAATAACTATATAGCTCTAAATATGCTCCTACTAATAATAAAAGTATATACACATGGAAAATGTTATATCTTAGAAGTACTTTTACAGTTTTTATGAGAGGTTATTCAATGCAACTATGTTTTTGTGCATCATCTGAATTGTTTGTCTCAGTTACCAAAAACTACATATTTAAAGAAATTCTGTCCATTTTATGGATATTAGATTTGAAGTGATTATTGTTCAACATTGATATAATGAATTTAATCTAAATCTCAGATATTGTCCTGATGCCATTTAAAATTATTACAGAATATGAGTATTTTATCCTAAGTTCATTTAGATATACAGTGTTATCTATACAATGTTTCTTTTCATTATTAGCATGATTTTTTTGTAATTCTGAAATATGAGATGAACACACTCATGTCATTGTCAAATACTGTGGAGTAAAATCAATACAAATGTAGAATGATACATACAGTGCTGCTTCTATATTTTACATTCAAAGCACATAGATAACAATTTAATTAGATTAGATAATTTTCAAAGAAATGTTCATATTTTGATCATTTTGATATATATATCTTAAAATAATTTTTTCTTGGTCAAGAGGACTTTCTATAATAATATCCTATAGCATGGTTCATGTATGTGTCATGACATATTTGATTCTCACTGAACTGACTAGACATTTGATCCATATATATGAATGTTTGTGGTACATATATACATGTATGTGTATATGTGTATATCACTATTATACATATACATTGCATGTAATATTTTATTATAAGTGCTAGTTTGTTTCCTTACATATTTAGATGTACTTAATGCGAAAAATATTTTCCATATTTTTGGTTTGTAATAAAAGTGTATAAGATAATTTCCTCTTTATTATAAAATGATATATCTTATGCAAGACAAAGGCTAGGACTTTAATTAAATAGGATAAGATGTTAGAGTCATTGCTGTGAATTTTTGAAAGGTAAAATGTATGTTGTTTTTTTATGAAATATGTATATTTTTGATCAGTACATGCTCGCCTTCCACCTTGAAAGCCTGCATACTGTTGACAGAGGAAGATTTTACTGCTTGCTACTTTTTGAGTTCTACTAGAAGCCCATCATGTTGCTTTGAGGTATTTCCAGGACTATCACTCTTCACGTACCTCTCTTCTATCTTTGATTTTATTCAACCTTGTCGAATCTCCCTGTCTCTCACCTTCTCTCTCTCCTTTTGAAAAATATTCTTTTTATGTTATCTGTTAATAATAATCGAGAAGTTTTATGCCTAGTAATATGCATCATGGAATTGTATCAGCTTACAGGATCATATTATTCAAGGAAAGAAATATAATGAAATATATTCAGGCAAATATTTAATCTCAGATTTGGCTCTGCTGTCATTATATTCTCTGATTAATGTACCTAACAAGTCTACAAACCCTGGGAGAATGAGAAGTGTAATAGGCATGAAATCTTCCTACAGTTAAATAACAGGAATCATAGCACTTATGTGTAAGAGTTCACGTTTTATTGGTTAAATGTTAATGCTTATGATGATTGTCAAAGAATAAATTTTCATATTTATAATTAAACTACCGCATTACAAAAATGCGAATGTACATATGGCTACAGAGTTAATGAACATTTCAATGTTTAAACATTAGCTTTAGAGAAAAAAAAAACAAAACAGCTGTTCCAGGTAACACCAGTTGAGTAGGTAATTTGTAATTAATTATAGACACATATGGCCATTGCTACTCATGCACAGACCAAATGTTTCCTTGCTAATAAAAAAGGCAAGCGTTCAATTATCTGTAACCATTAAAGAGTATTTTTATTGCCATATTGTGAATTAGTTTGATGTAATAATCCATCCTAGATTTTATATATGAATCATTTTACAAAACCGATTTTTTTGATTTGGCAAAAAAATGCCCATGTCTATAGAGAAAAAGTGAATTTCTTTTGAGTAACGTTTTAACACTTGAGAGGTAGTTTCATGATTAGAAAAAATCTAAAGGTGTTTCATTTATCTTATTAAAATGTAGCTAAACTTATTGGTGAGAAAGAGATAAAGATAATATCCAGGTCAGTAAATAATTCTCTATTGTTGTAAAATAAGTTGTAATTAATGCCTACATATCTATTTCATATGACTTCATTTAAATGCTCTTTTTCTTTGCCTCACTGTCGCTTACAATTATTCTAAAATAATCCTTGATACATCATGGTTATTCTCATTCAAATCATTGACATTTACTCTCCTTTTGCCTTTGTTGAATTTGGTTGCATACTTTGACATAAGACTATGTCTAAAGAAAGACAAATCTAATTGTTTTCTGATTTTATTACCTCAAATTATATGATTATGTGTATTACCTCAAATTATATGATTATGTGTTGACATATTTGCATTTCTCAATTTAACTTAATAACCCAGAAGATTTAAATGAATTATTATACATTTATGGCTCAGAAATAGAAAATGCACATTTTAAAACTCCTCAATTCTCTCTGAAAAACCAGATATTTCCAATTTATTCACTTAAAACTGACATTAATTATTATTTTAAAATATCTCTTTCACTCCTTTATGAATGACAATAAAAAATATACTAATGCCTATTGTGTTAGAAACTGTACCTTGTACTGAATAGTATGTAGTTTTTACTTTCACTTTTAAATTAACTTTCAATTCCATTTTTTCAAAGGACTTTGAATATGCTAACATTTGATTTGTCTATACTTTTCTTTGGATTTCATGCATTCTTTGAAGGTTTGAAAGAATAATGTTAATTATAATTCATATACTTGATTTGTGGCATAACTGTCACTTGATGTAGTGTGAAAAATAAATATTACAAATTATGACTTTTCAAGTTTTATATAGTTGAAAAAAATAATATCAGATTTGGTGCAGGAAAATTTTAGGCTTAGATGGTTTAACTTGCTTGATGCTTGGTTGATTATTGGTTCCACGTCCACACTTGAAAATCTATGTATGCTCTGATATCTCACTCTTCTCCACAGTAAGGTAGGATCACAATCAAATTTTAAGTTCAGTCAAGATGACATCAAAATTTTTCACAAGGAAATTATATATAAAACTAAAATGAAAATTAACAGACATACATAGATATGGGTATCTGTAGTACAAAGCTCTCTGGTCCTGTTTACTGCAACTTGGTTAAATATTGATCCCAGTGATACAGCTTCTGCTACACTACACTCATGACTTTTTAAACATATTGTTTTACTATGGTAAAATGTATACTATAAAATTTACCATTTTAACAATTGTTAGGTGTACAATTTAGTGGTATTAACTATATGCACGCGGTTGTGCAACCATCACCACTATCTGTCTTTTTTGCCGGATGCAGTGATTCACTCCTGTAATACCAGCACTTTGGGAGGCTGAGGTGAGAGGTTTGTTTGGGTCTAGGAGTTAAGACCAGGCTGAGCAACATGGCAGGACCTCATCTCTACAAAAAATACAAAAATCAGCCAGGTGGGGTGGCACGCTCCTGTAGTCCCAGCTACATGGAAGGCTTCAGTGTGTGTGTGTGTGTGTGTGTGTGTGTGTGTGTGTGTGTATGACAGAGAGGCTGATACGGGAGGATTGCTTGAGCCCAGGAGTTCGAGGCGGCAGTGAGACTGTGATCACGCCACTGCACTCCGGCCTGGGCGACAGAGTGAGACTCTGTCTTAGAAAAAAAAAAAGTGTCTTTTCTTTTTTTTTTTAAATAAAAAAAAGAAAAAAAATCAACATCTCTCCTTATTTACAACTGCATTCCCCTTTTCCAAATTTCACATACTTTTACGCCTCAGAAAAAAAAAAGCCAGAGCTCTTTATGAGGTGACCATGAAATTAAATTTAGAGTTAACATGAAAAGTGCTTCACATACAATTTATACTATGTGCTATTTAAATACACACACACACACAGACACACACACACCAATACACACATGCAATGCATGGGAATTAGCAATAACATATATGGATGTTTCACATATAACTTCCTATGCCATCGATAACACAGTAGGTGTTAAACTCACGCACTTATAAATCAAGAAAATTGGCTTCACAACCATTTTTTTCATTTTTTCTAATTTTAATTAAATATGTACTTATTTTGGCATAACTAATATTTTACCTACTGCTCTGTCACTTTTCTTCTTTACTTCTTTCCTTCTTTTCTCCTTTTCACCCATCTTACCTTTCTAACTTCATTCATTCTTTTATTTTCTTCTTTGAATAATATTATATGCTTCCAAGGAATATATAAGTTGAAGAATGGAAATAAAGAAAGTAGTGGTATCTGTTTGTAAAAATACTTTTATCAAAATTAATATTATTTCCTAGTCTAAATATATAACACATACAAAAACGGAAATTGCCATATAAGATATTAATATGTTTTTATTGTATATTTTTTCAAAAAAATGCTGAAATAAATTATTTTAAACAGAGTAGTAGCATATAATGTGAAAGTTACTTTTGCCTGGAAATTTTCATTCTTACAATTTCCTTGTACTTATAAAGATATAAATAATAAATCCAGATATAAATATAGCTACAGTTATATCTTTATTATACTTTATTACACTACAGATATTCTATATTTTTATAGATATCATTCTATATTTTTAACAATATGTACATATTTAAAGTATAACATGCATATGGAAAAGTGTAACATTAATAATTGTATATTTCAATGAATTTCCAAAATTTAGCATTTTTATAACCAAGACACAAATCAAGAGTCACAACATTACCAGCAACAGAGAACACCTCTCAGAGCCTCCCCTACAATCTTCCATCAGGTTTGTCTGTTAACATTATGTTTATCTTTGATGTTAATATTTATAGATATGGTTTATTGTTAAATGTAAACACAGAATTCTCTCAGAGAGAATTGTACTAAATTGTCATACTTAATAACTGATTTTGCTTATAGATATTTCAAATTTTTACTTTAAACATGACTGCAATAATCACATTTGTACATATGTCTTCATATCTTTTGAATATTATTTTGGTGCAAAAGTAATGGTGATTTGCCTTTACTTTTAAATGGCAAAAACACAATTACTTTTGCACCAACCTAATACTTTCATGTTATATATTCTAATCCTTGGAATTACTAAGTCAAGGAATAGGGACCACACCAGTTGTTACTGAACTTAAAATAGAAAGAGAACTTTTACCTCTCGATCAAAAGTAGTAGGTTTATAGGCCAATGTTTCTGCTAAAAACGTTAGAAAATATCACATTCATTAAAGATATATTTATAATTTATATAATTATATATAAATAAATATAAATTTATTTATATATTTAATGAATGAGTGTGTGTGTGTGTGTGTGTATATATATATATGTCAGAGATCTGTGAACACATTGAAGTCTAAATTAATTAAGATTACCAGGAAGGGAGAACAATTCTAAGGAAAGATGATGGTAACTGGCCACTTTTTCATCTGTGGAAATTTGCTTATACTAATTATAAGCTAAAAGTAGGGCTTGACCAAGGGAGCGTCTCCCAAATGGGGCTAAAAGAAACTGCAAAGCTTTTCTTTATCACATGAATCGGGAATATATCTTTGAGAGACCATAAATGCATCTTTAACTTACCCCAAAGGACCACCTGATAAGTTTGTGGCATTAAAGGAGCATAAGGTGCTGGCTTACGAGCTTCTAAAAGAAATTTTGCAACATCTTACATTGCATAGTGCATAGGAAACAAAGACTCACCAGGACAAAGCTCCCAAATTAAGCACTAGGTTAGTTTCTGATTGGAGAAACTGTTCTGAGGAGCTCTGAAAAATAGAACTACATTTATCAAAGTTTTAGTGTTGATAAGAAGGGCACCCGATAGGTTTTCATTCTCAGCTATGAGTCCACAGACACGACTAGAGGTGAAATAAGTCTTATTAAAAGTAAAATCCAGTCTCGACCCAGTTCAATCACAGAATAAATGGAGATATTCAACCCCTCAAGCTTTCTTTCTAGCAAATGAAAGGGACTCTCTATGATTTGAAAATAAAATCACTCTATCTTGAGTGTGTGTGTATGTGTGTGTGTATGAGAGAGAGAGTGTGTGTGTGTGGCTGTGTATGTTTAGACATATGAAGAGTAAAGAATATACGACTAAGAAAAAAACAGATATTAGGTGTCATCCCAGAGATAATCAGTACATTTCAATTATCAGATACCATAAATAGGATAATCATGTTAAAGTTAATTAAGGAATAAATGGGAAAAATAGAAAAATAATGTCAGGAAATTTGAATCTACATACAGAAATCACAGATTCTTTTCTGAAGCAAAAATTATAACTACTTTTTTAAAAGAAAGGCTTAATAGCATTTTGCAAAAATCAGATTATAAGATTATGAAACATGAATGTAAGACAAGTTGAGTCACCGAAAAAAAAAAAAAGAGTAAAAAAATTGAAATAACAGAAAAGAGTGTATGTAACATTTAGGACATTTGCACAAGTTTTGTAACATTATTATTGAAATCCCAGAAGAATAAAAGATAAACACAGTCAGACAAACTATAAAAGAGATGGTGTCCAGTAATGCCAGCAAATCACAAGCAAGATAAACATCCAAGTAAGTCACACCTGCCGACATTATAATAAAACCGATATGAACAGAGACTCACCCCACCAAAAAAAAAGACTTTATCTTACATGGAGCAACAACAGAAATAATGGCTAACTTTTTGTGCAAAACAATGAAGTTTAGGAGACAATACAATAAAATCCAAAACATACTAAATAATAATAACAATAATAACTAATGTAGAACTCTACATGAAAGAAAACTGTCCTTCAAAAATGAATGCGCAGAAACAATTGTTTTGTCATATAAAAAGTAGGCAAATATATTGTAATCAAACTTGTACTATGAGAAATAATAAATTTGTTTACACAAAACAATACTAATCCCATAAAAATATGGAAATTTAGAGGAAATGAAGATCACAAATGGATGAAAAGATGAGAAAATATAAATAAATACCATCAACACACTATAAGCATGCTAGTGTCTTATGTGGTTTAAACTATTTGTAGAAATAAAATGCATGACAATAATGCAAAAAAGGAAAATGAAAAAGATTTCAAGGACTCATAAGTTCTAACAGTATCAAGAACTTGCTAAACATAAACATTTTTAAGTTATAATAAGGTAGAACTTCTGGTTTTAGTTCTGACAGGCAAATTGCTTAGAAGTCATTCCTGTGGTCCTTACCAAAAGAAAAGGTGGACCAACTGAAATTTTCTCCTCAGAGAACTCTGGTTTCAGGAAAAACTATGATCCTGCTCTGGAGAGATAGGCACATCCAGAAATTCACAGCTGAGATATGCTCATCTGGATCAAAAGACACTGGAGTCTTCAACTAGTAGGAACACTGAAAATTTTAATATTTGCAAATTACTGGAAGATAAGTATGAACTAGCATTAAAGTAATAAATTCCACAGAACCACAGTATTACAGGGGTCCCCAAACTCTTTTTTTTTCTTTTTTTATGAGACGGAGTTTCACTCTTGTCGCCCAGGTTGGAGTGCAGTGGCGCCATCTCGGCTCACTGCAACCTCCGCCTCCCGAGTTCAAGCGAATCTCCTGCCTCAGCCTCCTGAGTAGCTGGGATTACAGGCGCCAGGCACCACGCCCGGCTAATTTTTTTTTTTTTTTTTTTTTTTTGATTTTTAATAGAGACGTTCGGTCAGGCCGGTCTCAAACTCCTGACCTCAGGTGACCTCAGGTGATCTGCCCGCCTCGGCCTCCCAAAGTACTGGGATTACAGGCGTGAGCCACTGCGCCCGGCCCCAAACTCTTAGAGACTTTATTTCCAGGAACTTACTAGGTTTTCATGAGGAAGTTCCCAGGAAATTTCCCTTATTGCTTTGACAAGGCGATGACAAAAGTAATTGTTAATCAATTTTCCCAAATCCTTCTCCATAATAAGACATACTCTCTGGGGACAGACTGCCTGGGTCTTTTCCTAAGAGGAAGAATGGCAATCCTCTTACCCCGGGTCCTTAGAGCCTTCCCGGCTTATGTTCTTGGAGGTGGTGGGAGCAAAACAGAGTCAATAGAGTCAGGGATTCAAGGACATGAAGTTTCAATGATGCTAGATGAAGAAATTCTAGAGATTTGCTGTTCAACCTAGTGCCTAAAGCTAACAATGTGGTGTTATGCTCTGAAAAAGCTATCAACAGAATAACTCTCAGGTTAAGTGTTCTTACAACAAACACAAAGCAAAGCGAAACACAAACTTAAATAAAAGGACTTAAGGAGTCCTTGGGAGGTGTTGGATATGCCTATTATCTTGATTATGATCATTGTATCATGGATGTTTACATATGTTCAAACACATTAAATTGGGTACATTAAACATGTGGGATTCTTTGCATATCAATTATACCTCAATAAATTTAGAAAACAGAATTCTGCAGACATGAAACAGAATATGAGGCAAG
This sequence comes from Homo sapiens, assembly GCF_000001405.40. Classification (NCBI taxonomy): domain Eukaryota; kingdom Metazoa; phylum Chordata; class Mammalia; order Primates; family Hominidae; genus Homo; species Homo sapiens. The sequence continues at coordinate 23,564,587 of NC_000005.10, forward strand.
GGGGGAAAATAGTTATACCAGTGGAGAAACACTTGCAAAGGCCATAGACGTGAGACCGAGGCCCACTGAAAGACTGAGATTTAAGTGGAAGATTATAAAACCTTCTCCCTCATGCCTTTCCATTGCATACGTAGCATAATAACAATGACTTCAGCTGAAAGAGCTACAAGATACAGATCCACTTAGTTTTTGGAGAGGCACAAAGTCAAGACAAAAGGTTAAGACAAGAATGTTAAAGACATTTGAAGACTTTGGCACAATGAAATTACAGTAGAATTAAATAACAGAAATAATATATTAAGGATGTAGGTGCTAAATTAAGAATATTATTGTTTAATAATAAAAAATATCCACTTAACAACAGATGGAATAACCAGACAAATTTAATCAAAAACATAAAATATCTGAGCAAAAGAACAAAACTGACTCATATATTACATTGCATACATATTACATAGCAAATAACAATGATAGAGTCTAAATTAGTTTTAATGGCATATGGAAGACTGATTAAAACCAATCAAGAGCTGGCCTTAATATGTTTTCTGGTTGCAGAAAAGAAAAAATATATATATAGCAAAAAGATAACTACAAAATTCTTAATGAATCAAATAAAATAATATACTTAGACACATTTCATAGGAAAAAATCAATATCAAATATTGTTTTATTAAAGCATATCAAGGCCTAATATATACCTTTATTTATTAGGTCTTATTTAATGTTTCAAATTTCTATGTACAGTTTTTGTACTTTTAAATTTTATTATAAGGTACTATATAATTGTTTATGCTGTTGAACAAGACATTTCAATTTCCATGATTTTATTTATAAATTTAAAATTTCTATTTGAAATTTCTTTGTTGAACTTATATACTGCCACTTTGTTAACTTTTTAGTAATAAACTTCATCTTTAAATAGTTTTAGATTTACAGAAAATTTGTGATGAGAATACAGGGATATGTCAGAAAGCCCGCACTCAGTTTCCCCTATTATTAATGTCAACCATTAATAAAGTACAATCGTTATAATTAATACAAGCATATTGATACATTGCCATCAACTAAAGTCCATACTTTATTCATATTTCCTTGGTTTTTGCCTAATGTTATTATTCTCTTCCAAGATCTCATCGGTTACGACTTTCATTTAATCATTGTGTCCCATGAGGTTCCTCTTGGCTGTGACATTTCCTCAAACTTACCTTGTTTTTGGTGACCTTCACAGGTGTTAGTAACAGGCCAAGTATTCTATCGAATGTCCCTGAAGTTGAATATGTCTGTTGTTTTTTTCTCATCATTAAACTGGGTTTATATGTAATTCACAGGAATGCAACAGAGATGAAGTGCCATTGGCATTCTATCTTATCAAGGGTACATATTGTCATTGTCTTACCACAATTTATATTAAACCTGACTGTCCAGATGAGATACTGTTTGGCATTTTTATTTTGATTATCAAAGTCAAGGTACTCTTATTCCTCCATTTCACACTGTACCCCTGAGAAGGAAATATCCATGCATAGTCCCAACTTAAAGAGTAGGGAGTTATGTCCCATCTCCAGGAGGACAGAAAATGTATAAGAATTATTTGTAATTCTTCTGCATGTGAAATGTCTCTTCTTCCCACTTATTTATTCAAATAATTATGGACTTATAAATATTTATTTTATTTTATATTTTGTTTTATAAACTAATACTAATTTATTTGTTTTATTGCTCAAGTTGTTCTAGGAGCTCTTTCAGCTGGCTCTTGTGCTGCTTTGATCTATCCTTCTAACATTTCTTGATTGTTTATTTTTGAGGAATTTCTTATTTTCTGGCACTACAAGGAATCTGAGGTGCTCCAAACTCATTGTGTATATGTTTCCTGTTCTAGTGCTACAATCAGTCATTTCTCCAAGAAATACTGGTTCCTTCGATTGGAGAAAGATATCACAAAGCAGGAACTGGGTAATAAGTATACTCCTTGCTACAGGGATATTTGCTCCAGGCCCTCTCAGCTAACAGAGAAAGGAAATACATGTTTGTATACTAACTCTGGTATATACATGTGATATGGTTTGGCTTTGTGTTCCCACCCAAATCTCATGTTGAATTGTAATTCCTAATGTTGGGAGTGGAATCTGGTGGAAGGTGATTGGATGATGGGGGTGGATTTCCCCCTTTCTGTTCTCATAATAACAAGTGAGTTCTCATGCTTTGAAAGTGTGTAGCACTTCCCTCTTCACTCTCTCTTTCTCCTGCTCCACCATGTGAAGATCTGCCTGCTTCCCCTTTGCCTTCTGCCATGATTGTAAGTTTCCTGAGGCCTCCCTAACCATACTTCCTGCTCAGCCTGTGGAACTATGAGTTAATTCAATTTTTTTTTCAAAAATTACCCAGTCTCATGTAGTTCTTTATAGCAGTATGAGAATAGACTAAAACAACATATATGTGTAAACATTTCTATATATACCTATCTGTATCTGTAGTAAGCTAGATATAAATTCATACCGAGGTCTCCAATTGTAATCCATTATTTCATGGAGGATTCTAGCCTTCTTTTCTTGCTCATCCATGAATTCCTGCTCAAACTGTGAGAAGCATGACTCTCATCACAAATGATTCATTTACATTTAATTGTACAATTCCAATGTACATGATAGCACTATCAATGTTTTTAACTATAACCTTTTTAATACAACTTTATAGCTGATAAAGTTGTATCAGCTGTATCAGGTGTTAGTAATAGGCCAAGTATTATAAAGTTAGTAACAGGCTAACTTTATAGCTGATAAAGTTGTATTAAAAGTTGTATATAGTTTTCCTTGTCTTAAAATCAACTCATTTGCAATGCTGTCTGGTCAGAAATTTTTCTCTCCACTCACTACATTGAGTTTGTGTTACAGATTTGTAAATTTTTTTTTCTTGTCACAGTCTGCATTTCATGCTGGGCTTCTGCTGACTTCTTAAATGACTTTTAAAGAGTATAAATTAAGATTCACCCTGTGCTGTAAGTGTTTTGAAAAATGCATAGTGTTATGTATTCAGTATATAGAATTACAGTATATAGAATTACAATTCTATATACTGTATATACAATTACAGTATATAGTATATACAATTACAATTATATATACTGTATATACAATTACAGTATATAGAAGTTTCAAAACCCTTATAGAATAGTTTCAAATCTCATATAGAATAGTTTCAAATTCTGTCTCTCACCTGATCACCCCTCTCTACTCCCCATCCCTGTCACTTGGCAACCACTGACTTTTTAATCACTTTTATATGCTGCCTTTTCTGGAATGTCATGTAATAGGGATTATAGAGTATTTAACCTTTTCAGATTGGCTTTATAATTTAGCAATATGCATTTATTATTTATTCATGCATTTTTTGTGGCTTCATGGCTCTTTTTATTGAGGTAAAATATATGTTAACATAATATTTCCCATGTTAATCACCTGTGAGTGTAAAATTCAGTGGCATTAAATACATTTACAATGTTGTATAACCTCACATCTATTTGGCTTTCTCTATTATCATCACGGTTTCGCTATACATTCAATTCTCTGAGGCCTACCCTAACCACCTTTTGTAATATTATATTCTACCATCACAGTGCTTTCACACCAAAAACCTCCTCAAAATGCACTACCTTTTTCTTCTATCCTTGCCATTCACAACTTTCTAACACACAAGTCAATTTGCATATTTATTTTCTTTTTGTTCATTTTCATTGTTTCTTGCTAAATATAAGCTCCATGAAGGCAAGGATTACTGTTTTGCATGCTAATATATAGAAAGAACTTAAAAGAGTATGATGCACATAATAAGCATTCAATAAATATGTAAGCTAACAATTAATTAATTGAAGGAATCAACATAGGAATCTCTGTGTGAGTCACTGGGACTTAGACAAAGAAATATACTTAAGTAATATTTTGGCTGGGAGCTGACATCAGAGCTGGCGAGCCACTAGATGCCACTTTTGTTTTTCTCTAATTCTTACCCCTGTATGAATTTTTGCAGCAAGGAGCTTTAAACTTATGGGGGAAGAGGATGAGATGACCAGTCTGGCTTCCCATGGGGTTTTGTAAAACACTCCATGACCTAATTTTGTAACTCTCCCTCAATAATGTGGGGCTCAGAGTTCTTGCAGTTTCTTTTTCAAAATTGCTTTCACTGAAAAGAATAATTTCCTAAAGTTTTTAAGATTGAGAATATGCTTTAAATTAACCAGTCGGTTTTCATTCTTTTCTATTTCTGTTTCCAAGAAATTCCTCAAATATGTTGCCTACTTATGGCACACTTGCAATTACCTGATGTCTTACGGATTTAGTTGGTTTTCCATTTAATATCTATTTTTAATTAATTCAGGTTGGAGTTACTTTATGCAGTTATTTATGTCTGGAAGACCCTGGGAGTTTATTATAAGTGGTATGCACATCTATAAGCTCATAGGGCATTGGATATAACCAAAACAAATAATATGACTCACAGATAATTTTACAATGATTTTTTTTGGCTACATAGAATGATGCTATGAATTAAAAAATGGATAGTATTCAAAGGTATTAATACATTTATTGAAGTGTATGTGTGCATGTGTGTCTATGACAATCAAAGGCATTCTCATTATGAAATAGCCTTAATTGTTTTTGTAAAAAGTAATTTTTATATTAAAAGTAGGCAGACAATAGAATTTCTAATTTCTATGAACATAAAATTTAGGCTACATTTACAAAAATTTGATATAATTGAAGAAATTTAATTCTATATATTTTTCAATAAAAATTACAACTGGTTTAGAAGGCTGGGCATGCTGGCTCACTCCTGTAATCCCAGCATTTTAGGAGGCCGAGGAGAGTGGATCACCTGAAGTCAGGAGTTCGAGACCAGGCTGGCCAACGTGGCAAAACCCTATCTCTACTAAAAAGACAAAAATTAGCCAGGTATGGTGGCATGTGCCTGTAATCCCAGCTACTAGGGAGGCTGAAGCAGGAGAAGGCAGGGGAATCACTTGAACTCGGGCGGAGGTTGCAGTGAGATGAGATCACTCCACTGCACTCCAGCCTGGGTGAGAGAGCAAGACTCCATCTCAAAATAAATAAATAAAAATAAAATAAAATAAAACTGATTTTGAGAAATAAATTAGAATTATAAGAACATGTTTGAGTATAGTATTTTAATATATTACAGATAAATTTTAGTATCAGAATATATATGCATTCTATATATGTATATATTTCAAAAGGAATAAAGAAATTGAAAAGTATTAGAGAGTTAACAGTATTTGATCAATTAATATTCTAGGCCTATAAAATATAAAACAGCAAGTTCACATAGTACTGAAATAAATAACTGTTTATATAGATATTTAAAACTTGGAGAATGAATTTTTAAGTAATGTCTTTACTAGTTTATGCTTTATAAGAAATTACAGCCGTATATGTCTGAATGAAGAGATTATTACAGAAACAAAATAATTGAACCAAACTCATTTCATATGAGTTAGTGTAAAATTATCTCCTTTCATGTGGTTCAAGATGCTTCTTAAAATTCCCTTTAAACATCTTATATTACCTGATACTGTCCTCATTTTTCAATCACATATGTTCTAGAGGATAATTTTGGGATTAATTTGTAATGTACTATGATAAGAATAATATATCTACTGAAGAAATGTTCTAAGTATAATAATGTACTGTTGAATCAATTTGAATGCTTTAATAGTCATAATTTTTAAATTCAGTTTTAATAACTTTTTATGCTTAAGACAGTTTTGGTTGCTGGAAGCAGAAAATAATTCTATACTTTATCTCGAAAATATATTTCTCTCAAAAAATATTTATATTTTTATGCTTAAGACAGTTTTGGTTGCTGGAAACAGAAAATAATTCTATATTTCTCTCAAAAATATCAGTGACCACTGATAAATGGTCCTTTGGTATTTGCTTGAGCATCACTCAAAAACATTCATTTCCTTTCATGTGTATCAAGTGCTATTTTTGGCCTGGAACTGTGCTAGGCTGGAAGGTCAACATTCAATAGGAGTCTTATCCTTAAGGAATTTACTATGTAACTAATGATTTACAAGTAGCTAATTAGAGCATTACTTTTTAGTGAATTATGTGCAATGGTTGGCCTTCTCAGTCAAAATTAAACTGTATTAATTAACTTTTATTAATTAAAAAATTTCTTAATTAAAAGTTGTTATTAATGAACTTTTATTAAATAAAAGTTATGCTGATCCATAAGAAGCACACTATTCAGTTACAAAACACACTGAGCAGGGAAAAACATAAAATAAAATTCCAATTACAAGAAATTTAGGCCAGGTGTGGTAGCTCACACCTGTAATTCCAGCACTTTGGGAGCCCAAGGCAGGTGGACCATCTGAGGTCAGGCATTCGAGATCAGCCTGGCCAACATGGTGAAACCCCATCTCTACTAAAAATACAAAATTAGCTGGGCGTGGTGGTGCATGCCTGTAATCCCAGCTACTCAGGAGGCTGAGGCAGGAGAATTGCTTAAACCCAGGAGTCTGAGGTTGCAGTAAGCCGAGATTGCACCATTGAACTCCAGCTTGGGCGACAAAAGTGAAACTTTGTCTCAAAACAAAACAAACAAACAAACAAAAACCAAACCAAACCAAACCAAAACCAAAATAAGAAACTATGACTAGAACATTAAGGTTGTTTAAAGACATGGTTAGCCAAACAGGTATATGTCTAAGAGACTGAGATTATAACAGTCATTGGGGAATAGCTGTTAAAAGTCTTAGGCCCCTTTAATTACAAAAACTTTAGGAACAGGAGTCTTGCATAAATGGTTAAGCTAGCTAAAAGTTGAACGATATGCAAAAGGCGTGTTTCAAGATTTATTTAACAGTAAAGATAGAATTAAGATACTGTATGATAGATAGGATATCAAAAAGCCAAAAAAGCCAAGAGGTTTTATTGTCCATGCACTCTCTGAAGGAGTAAGTAAAACATGAAATTAAGACTAAAGAGCAGTTTTTTAAAAAGTGAAAGAGCAAGATTTAAGAAACAATAGAAAGGAAATAAAATGATGGAATACATCAGTAAATTTAAGGAAGGATTAAAAATAATAATAGTAGCCAGGTACCCTGGCTCACGCCTGTAATCCCAGCACTTTGGGAGGCCGAGACGAGCAGAACACGAGGTCAGGAGATCGAAACGGGCAGAACACGAGGTCAGGAGATCGAGACCACCCTGGCTGACACGGTGAAACCCCGTCTCTACTAAAAATATAAAAAATTAGCCGGGCTTGGTGGTGGCCGCCTGTAGTCCCAGCTACTCGAGAGGCTGAGGCAGGAGAATGGCGGGAATCCGGGAGGCGGAGCTTGCAGTGAGCCTGGATCGTGCCACTGCACTCCAGCCTGTGTGACAGAGCGAGACTCCGTCTCAAAAAAATAAATAAATAAATAAATAAAAATAAATAATAATAATAATAATAGCAGGCATAAAAGTATTACTGATAAATACATTTCAACAGTTTGATGATGTTGAATCATTTAAGTGGCAGACAATACAAATATAAAAATTAGAGTAATCTGGGAGTTTTAAAGAAGGATAGAGAATTCTATGGTTTATGTCTTGCTAAAAAGAAAAATACTGATTAGCTTTATGCTTTATAAGAAAATCATGAATGATGCAAGATAAAATTTTAGAATAAGCACTAAGAGAAGAACAAAACAGTGAATAAAAAAAAAGAAAAAAGATTCAGGTAAAAAGAGCAATATAGTTCTCAAGATTGTGCATGATTTTACACAACTTTCTGTTAGATTAGTGGGTTAACTGAAATATTTCTTTAAAATAAAATCTCATTGGATTATAAGTAAAGGTAGTATGTTGGTATTTTTTCTTTCAATTTTTCTGTTTTATAAATGGTGCCAAACATGCAGAAATAGGATAGTATTGAGCAATTTATAATTAAAAGCCTTGTCCCCAAATCAGAAACTTGGACTGTGTAATAAAAAGAGATCTTGTATCTGACTGCGACAGCTCTATGATTATCTCTCGACTCTGCTTCTGCCCCTTGGCCAAGATAAGGATGAGATATGCTTCTTGTGATGAATACTGTGTTGTTTAAAGTTTGAAATTCCCCTGGAGGTACTTTGGGGCTAGATTGTCTATATTGTTTTTGAAATATATACTGTAGATTGTGAATACCCAAGTACAAGTCAGCATTACCCATTATCTTAATTATTGGTGTAGTTTCCACAAAAAATTTCCTGCCTTGCTTCATTGCTTTCTTCATTTTTAAGCATACTGGCCAGTGTGTCATAACATAAGACTCTTCTGCCCAAAAGCTTCCGGTAGCCTCCCATCTCACTCAAAGAAAAAACAGATCTTTACAAGTGCCTACAAAGGCCCTATGTAATCTGCCTTCAGTTGCCTGTCTCACTTCGACTCCTGCTTGCCCGATTGTACATGCTCTGCTGGCTACACTGGCTCCCAGTACATGGAATAAGTCAGGATGCTCCATCTCAGTAGACTTAAACTTGCTCTTTCCTCAGTCTGGAACGTTCTTCCCCAGACAAAAAGCAAACCCTCTCAATTCCTTCCTATTTTTATTTGCTTCTTGCAAATTAGGTCTTTCTGGCCGCTGGATCTCTCTTTCTCTCTCTCTCTCGTGTGTGTGTGTGTGTGTGTGTGTGTGTGTGTGTGTGTGTGTGTATTTTAAATATCCTACTTTTCATTTTTATAGATTTGGAGGGTACTAGTGCCATTTGTTTACATGGATATATTGCATAGTGTTGAAATCTGGGCTTTTAGTGTACCCATTACCCAAATAGTGCACATTGTACCCAATAGCTAATCTTTCATCCCTCACCCTCCTCCCACCCTCCCACCTTTTGGAGTCTCCCAGGTCTATTGTTCCACTCAATATGGCCAAGTGTACCCATTGTTGAGCTCCCACTTATAAATGAGAACATAAGGTTTTTTTATTTTCTGCTTCTGAGTTATTTCAGTTAGGATAATGGCCTCCAGTATTATCCATGTTGTTGCAAAAGACTTTATTTATTTATTTATTTATTTTGGAGAGAGAGTCTCACTCTGTCACCAGGCTGGAGTGCAGTGGCAAGATCTCAGCTCACTGCAGCCTCCACCTCCCTCATTCAAGTGATTCTCCTGCCTCAGCTTCCCGAGTAGCTGGGACTATAGGCGCGTGCCACCACACCCAGCTAAGTTTTGTATTCTTAGTAGATGTGGGGTTTCTCCATGTTGGCCAGGATGGTCTCGATCTCTTGACCTCATGATCTGCCCGCCTCAGCCTCCCAAAGTGCTGGGATTACTGGCCATTTTATTTTATTTTTTTAAGGATGAGTAGTATTCCATAATATTTTATATATATATATATATATATATATATATATATATATATATATAAAATATATATATAAATAGTCTATATACAGTGTGTATGTGCATGTGTGTGTATATGTGTGTGTGTAGTCTCTTACATCGTTCTCTATGGCATTATCACTATCTGGCTTAATATATACTTACTTATTTAACCTATTTATTTTGTTTATTACAGGTATACAAGGAAATTCAATTTTTTTTGGCTTCTTTACCACTTGGGTTTAGAAGAGTGCTTTGCACATTGTAGGAGTGTAGAATAGACTTGACATACAGCTGGATATCACTGGGGTCTCCTGAATATCTGGGTTTGTCTGTGGCCAAGTCAAGGGTAGTGGGCTTTATGATTCACAAAGATTAAAAGTTAATTTTAATCCATAAAATTAACCATCCCAGTGGCTATCTAAAGCTGGAAACACCATGGGACTATTTGTTTACTGATGGTTTTAAACTGGCCTACCTGTTAGACAAGTCGGAATGTCCACATGATCAAAAAGGAATAAAAATCACCACACCAGTGGGAACTTATCTTTTAAGATCTCCCATAGCCAAAATTCTTTGTAGAGACCTTGATGATCAATGTCAGAATAAAGACACTGGAGATTTGCAGTGGACTGTTTGTGATTCCTTAATGTTTGCCTGCATTTTATTGCCCTTTCTGTTCCTGAACCTATGCCTTAAAAAAATGTCTCCTGTGATTATGCTCTGTGGGGTATCGTGAGGCTTTTAAACTATCCAAACATCTGAAATTTGTATGGAGGTATTCAATAAATATTTTCCGAATGAATATATCAATTACCCTTTAGTCCTACTGTATAAATGTCATAGTCTGTTCAGGGTACTATAATAAATATAATAGACTGGGTGGCATATAAAAAGCAGAAATTTATTTCTCACAGTTCTGGAGGCTTGGGAGTCCAAGATTAAGGTGATATCAGATTTCACGGCTAGTGACAGCCTGTTCCTCATAAATGGTCCTTTCTTACTATGTACTCATATCGTAAAAGGGATGAGAGAGCTTTCTGGGGCCTTCTATAAGGGCACTAATCCTATTCATGAGGGCTTCATCCTTATGAACTAATTATCTCCCAAAGGTGCCACCTCCTAGTACCATTGTATTGAGCGTCAGGATTTAAACATATGGATTTTGGGGGGAAACAAACATTCAAACCATGGCAATGTGAAGTATTCTGCAGCAGAATAATCCAAAACATAGGTTCATCGGGATTATTTAACCTTAAATTTATTTGAATTATATTCTTAGTATAGCTAAATTTAAACTCTTTGTCAAATCAGGATAAAACCAAGAACACCAGACAGCCTTGACATCTTCTAATTATGTTGCAGTTCAGTTAAGTTTCAGTCACTGGAGCAATCACAGGATTTTCTCTTTAGATAGAAAGGGAGAGGGCTTAACATAAAAACAAATGTATGCACTTGCATCAGCTACTCACTAAGGCTAATTGCCCAGACTAGATCAGTTCTGGGTTCCAGATCAAATGGCAAAAGTAAGAACATTCATTGTGAAACTCAAAAATGCAAACTTTCTTTCGTAATATTATATATATATATATTTTAATCTTAAATTGCCAATAAATGTCCCTATCCTCCACTACAAATTTGCATTTGCTGTTTACTAATTTTATTGTATCATGTATCGAGGATAAAATGATTTTTCTTAGTGAGATTTTTATTTTTCCTGTTTTGTGAGCAATTTTTATTATGCACATTATTATGGGAATATAATGCGTATGTTTTACCCTGGAAAATAACTAGTATTTTGTTCTCTAGCCTTAGCTAATCATATTAGTCAAATTCTAATTTCCCTTGCTTGGTTTTTGCCTTTTCCTTCATTATGAGATTGTTATCTTTCATTATAAGATTGTTAATATATCTATTTTTCTTTGAGTCTTTTTCAATTTTTACTTAAAAGTAAAAATGTAAACTGAAAAGCCTACTTTAAGTGCATACTATTCATGTCACAAATATTTTGCTTAATTACAAATGTGAAATATATTTGTGGATCATGCCCAGTGCTATTTATGTTAGTCTATATTTGCCAATGTATAGGTTTACTTTAATTCTTAGCATTTGTCCATTTACCAACTTTCATTAGTTTCCAAATATATGTGATGCTAAATTTTTAATAAGTTCAAATCTGTAGTTCATATTCAGGAAATATAATTTTTTATGTAATTACTTAGAGGATTTTGTTTGTTTATATACTATACTGTCAACTTACACATATTTATTTCTTTCTATTTTGCCTTTTCTTCTAATTCATTTTTTTGTAAATTCTATGTTTGGAAGAGATAATGAAAAATAGGTTGTGTATTCTGTCGTGTTTAGTTGCTCAAAGTCACACTAAGTCAAAATTACTCTTAAAATTTATGTTTAGAAGCCATGTAATATGAAATATAATGCTTAGAGCCACATTTATGGTGGCAATATTATCACACTATGTGAGCTCATAGAACTAAGGCCAACTGCAGAGAACAGAGATTTAAATCTCTCAGAGCCTCATTGCATGTATTTTTCCAGAATATATGGTCATGAGTATAATGAGAGTGTATGGCCTGTATTTGTAAATTTATTTTTTGTTTCACTGTATTTGTTTGCTGAATATTGTTCTTAAATTTATCTATTTTTATAATATTGTATAGTATTATAGACCAAATGTCTTCTTTCACGTTTCATGTATCCCTAGACTTACTTCAAAGGGAGGATATTTTAACTGTCATTATCTAAGGGGAGACTTTTTTTGTGGAAACTCACAAAGAGTTGCATAAATTAAGGTGTTACAAACTAGTCTGCTGACTTGTAAATCTATTGATTTCTATGTCTATTCAAACATACAAAAACGATGTCAACAATATCATTACCAGAAATTTATTTCCTCCCTCTCCCTGCCAGCCTTTGAAAAACAATAATAAGCTCTGCTAATGATATAAAGGCTAATCAATTAAAATAGCTTCTGCTTTCAAAATCAGACTTGTCCTTTGAACTCTTGTGCCATTTAACAAGTTTCTTTCCTTCAACACTGTAAAAGTACTAATTATGTAATACTACTATACATCACCACATAAATTGACTTTGGTTGCTACAAAAAAATCAAGTGGTAGGTATGAGATCAACCTATGATTTTTACAGCAGATAAAAATTTCCATATGAATTATTTTAGCAATAAAAGATAGAGAAATGTTCAGTTAGAAATTAATTCAGATTATAGTAATTAAAATTTGTACACCTGTACTATTCACAGAAATAAATTGCAAATTATCATTGCCCACTTCCTGACTGAGATTCCATTTATATAGTGTGCTAACTATAATTTTACAAACTCACCTGCCTAAATAAGTTTTACAGTCATTTTTAGTAATCACATAAATGGATAATACATTTTTAAGAGTTAAAAACCTATTCATTACTTTTGCTACCAATAAAATCAGCATTCCTAGGAATATGACAAAATTCTCAAATTTTGAAGAACAAATGAACATTTCATTTTTTTTTTTGTTAGGGTAGTTACAGGCCATTACTGCCTTAGTCAGTTTGGGCTGCTAGAACATACTACTGCAGATTCCGTGGCTTACACAGTAGAAATTTATTTCTCACAGTTCTAGAGCTGGAAAATCTAAGATCAAGACAATGCCAGATCTGTTGTCTGCTGAGGACCCATTTTCTGGTTTGTAGACTGTTGTTATCTCTTTGTGTCCTCACATGGTGCAAAGAGAGAGATCATCTCTCTCAAGTCTCTTCATATAAGGACACCAATCCCTTTCATGAAAGCTTCCCTCTCATGATCTAATTGCCCCAGCAAAGGCTCTATTTCTAATAACTTCACATTGGAAATCTAGGCTTCAACACTTGAAATTTTAGGAGACCCAAACATTCAGTCTATAGCCAAAAAAAAAAAAAAATGAAAGTTTAGTGATGCTAATAATGATATTTTTCTCTTCGGATTTCCTAAACAACTGAAAGGAGACATGCGTCCAGTGATCCAAAATCCAGAGATTTGGGATACATTACAAAGAAAGATAGTACTTAAATATACTTCCTCTTTTTCTGCCCATTCCTTTTTCAAGTTCAGATTTTTTGGCCTATTTGTGAGAAAGTTAAATATCATATTTTGTTTAAATCTGCATGAAATATAAACATATTTTCTGCACCCAGAGAAGTGTGTGTGCATGTGCTTGTGTATGTGTGAATTTCTTTGCATCCTGTGAGCATAGAAGGATCAGTTAGATCCTATGTTTCCATCACTTACTGGCCAAACATAATAGCCTTTGACGCCAACTTCTTAGCGGATCCACCAATCCTCTTAGCCATCTCCTTGATGTTATGAGCAAGGAAGTAAGGGGAGAAGTGAGACCAGAAGAACTCTTATAGTTCTCCCCACTGCAATGACTCAGAACTCACCTTCTATGGAAAGTTAATAATAAAAGCTAAGCAAATTCTTATTAATAACAATTTACAATTAATTCAGATTTAAATATGGCCTTGAGTAGATACGTGAAGGATGTAAAAATATTATTCATTTTTCCCCTATCACTCATGCATTGGTGTACTTCCCTTTTTTAATGTTATAACCGTCATCATCTCAAAGTCCTTCATTTTGTAAATCCCCTTCACATTTGCTACCTGCAAAGCCTCACATGATATAAGTCAATGTTATTTTTTGAATCTATTTTTCTGTTTTTGATGTGGACACTACATAAAAATGAGTGGCTATTATTTAATATGGAGTAAACACTATATAAAAGTTGATTTAGTTATATTTTTGATAATAAGAAGTCATAGACTCTCGAGGTGAAAATGTAGAACCAAATGTATAAAGGCATTAACAGAGGAATTAGTTTATAAGATTTATTAGCAAACACCTATATATTTACAAAATCATGTATTCCAAATAATATATGTGATTTTCACACACTTGGAGTCAAACCAATAAGAATTAAGTTTATTATCAAAGAACTAAGAACCAAAAATTGATTGCCTCAGATCCCAAATTTCTTCCTTCCAAAACAATAACTTGACCATATAGAAATATGTATATGGGAAATCTAAAAGGGAGAAGGGCAATGAGATATCCCATGAAATAACTTATGCTCGCCCAAGGAGGTACTGGAAGGAAACTTGACAAGAGTCCAATAAACGTTGAGCCCTCAACAACAGAGGATAGAAAAGAATGTCATCAATATGTTTGGGTATGAATGGATATTTTTGTATAATATGCAGGTATCACACAGAGATCTGGTAAGTAATCTTGTACTGTCACTTCGGTGTTTTCACATGCCTTCCAAAATCAACTTGAACTCTTCCAAAATAGGACACTCAATTAATGTATAATTAATTGTCTGTTTTGATATCATTTTGATATCATTTTGTTTCTTCCTTCAACGCCTCTACAAAACCAACACACCTTCTGGCTTTTTTAAAAGTAGCATACTCCTATGAAGATGCATAAATCCTTCATATTAGTGTTTGCCTAGCTGATTTTTGTTGCTCATTAGTGAAGCAGGAACCCAAGTAAGTGGGTTGTGCTCACTGTTTTTAAATTTGCATTTTAATAAAGAATAGACTGGAAAAGAACATAGCAGAATAAAACAATACAATAGAACACAGTGCCATAGAGATAAAATATCATAGGAAATTACTCAGGTGCTTTGCAAGAATTACACATATTGCAGCAAGTGCTGTGGGAAATTTGTAAGTGTGAAGTAAGCCAGCCAGTAAATGAGATGATACAACAAATTTGTTTCCTGACATGTCATATTTTATCGTGTGTGACACTTCCGGGTGAGGTCACCTTTGATCCTCCAGTTCATCCACCAGATTAACGTAGCTGCAAGTGGGAGCCTATGAGACCAGTAGAACAGCCTCCCAGACAATGCACATACATTCTAAAAGTAAAGACACAGACAAAATATTGGGAAGATTTACTCATGATGTTAAATGTGCTTTACAGAAAAAAATTACACATATATCTGAAACTTCATTAAGCTTTTTAATTCACGTTGTCTTCAGTTAGGTCAAGGTTGAAAGACCTACTTTATATGATGTGGTCGTGGTAAATAGCATTAATACTAATGAACTCAGAATATTATTGGACATTTTTCTTATAGAATAATCTAATTTGATAATGTATAGTTCAGTATAATTATCCATCTTAACTAATTGAATAATTAAACTGCAAATATGTATTTTCTTTAGAAGGCAAGTCTTTAAACCAAACAAGTCAGATTTTAAAAAGTAAATGGATCTTATACCAAAATGTTATTTCTTAAAATTTTCAACATTCTCTACTGGAAATTATATTTACTACATTTATATAGAAAAATGAAGTATAAGAGTAACTTTAACCCTGAAGTCGTGTTACTCTAATTGTTCTCACTAGTAATGTTCTCTTCAAAATATTTTAGCAATATTAAGAATGTATGAGGAATTACTTTTAAGTCTTGCTTTCTATTGACAATAATTTGAAGGTTTTTGGACATTTTGGATTCTTTGCTATACTAAATGTGTTGAAAAATATCATTTTTTTCTCCGTGTAGCTTCAAATTTAGCCTGTTAAGTATTCTGAAAACACCAGATGGGAATATGACAGAACTCCAGTGCCAGCTGGAAGAAGCTTGCTTTGGCCAAATTTGGGACAATTTAAACATCAAAAATAATAGTGATATTGATGAATTATAACACATGGAATTAAAAGTTGGAAAAAGCACAACATTTTTTGAAATAAAATAATAACGATATATTAATCTTCTAAAAATATCAGCTGAATTCTAATTCAGAATGATAGATTTTCAAATTTGGGAAAGCAAGCACTATGTCAGATTAATGAGTTCTTGTCAGAGATACACTCTATATGTGGCTGCTTACTTTACCTTCATGTCATCTGTTACCTACGTTGGAAATTTTAATAGTTCAAAAAGTTAACTCACTACATATATTCTGAAGTAATCTGAGAATACTACACAAAACCACATACAAAGTACTTGTTGCCTACTCTAGATATACAATGGTTACTTGCATGTATTATAATAATGAAGATTATATATTTATGTAAACTTCAACAAGTAAATTTGTGGCCATGTATCAAAAACCATTTAATAGTTGAGGAAATAAAATTTTAAGTAAATAACATTTTATTCTAGACAACAAGGATTTGGTTTTTTAGTGGTTAAAAGGAGACAGACTGCTGGATTCAAATTGTGATGTTACTGACAAATATATAACTTAGGCATTGACTTATCTGCATTTTTATTTTGTAAAATAGGGTTGATTATTGTAAGTAGCTCAAAGTGATCTATGAAGAATAAATGGATTAATACCTTTAGAAACATAGAGCAGGGGTTAGTGTATAATAAATTCTCAATAGTTAGGCCAAGCTAATAACAATTATTTATCTTTATATACCAGGAACTATGTTAAAATCTCTACAAATTTTAATATTACATTTCATTTTCATTGCCAGCTCTGTTTAGTATCAATGGCTCTATTTCAGTTATACGTGAAAGAGAGAGAAATAAAGCAGCCTGCCTATTTTTACATAATGACTAATTGGATAATATGGAGTTCAAACTCATTTTTATATAAAAGCAAATTTTGTATTTTAATTAGTATAAAAATGTCCCACATGTGATGGACTCGGTTTTAAACATGATGGTTTGAGTTGCTTGTGGGAGAGTCAAGTACATGTGGTGTCGTGCTAATTAGTGAAACAAATTGCTTTACATTTTTTCCAGAAGTTCTCAAAAGACTATATCCCAGTTCTTAAAAATCACAAATAATATCGCAATTTTATTTGCATATGAGATTTATTGGAGTTTGGCGGCTTTGAACCAGCATTACTGAAAGTACTACACATTTTTTCTAAAGGAAGTGAACATGAGAATGCCTGGTTCCTCTGGGTATTACCAGCTGCCAGCTTGAAAAATCAATGTGATAACTAAAATTGTAAAATGTAGCATTTAATTTGCTCTTATGGTCTGTTGATGAAGATATTCATCCATGACAACACCTACCTGTCCATGGCTAATATTTCTTTAGCTACCCACAGTTGCTGAACAAGATTCACCCATCCATAAAACCTTTTTTCAATCTATGTGGAAATCCACATATACTTAATGCATATACTTAAATGGAATCTTTATTCATACTTAAGCCTAAATAATCATGTGCAGAATGTCTTCACAATTATGACCATATCAGATTATATGAGCAGAAATGATCGATTTTCTTGTTCTAAGAAATATCACGTTATATGGTTAGTTAATAAGCTCATTGAGTTAAGGAAGATTTTGAATGTTCTTTATCATCTCCAGTACAGTATTGCAAATGGAAAGAATCCCACTCATAATGCTTCCCATGAGTTCAACTTGTTATAATACTATTTTTTTTTCAATTCAGGTGTGACCTTTCTAGACTGATTAAAGGATGTGTATACCCTTTCACTTTTAAGCAGTCCAATTACATTATGTAATTACAATGAGCCTACAAATGTATATTTCTAAAGATTGTCAATAAAATTTCAAGGATAGTTTAGTTTTTTAATAGTTATGCTTATTTTTCATTGCACCACTTAGACATTTTAGGCATTACTTGTGTTAAAATAAATCAGCTACAATTTGTGGTAAATTTTATCATTGGACATCCACAAAAGTTATCATAACATCTAAAAGAGGATGCTAGTAGGAAGTGGATGTAATGGTATATTTTTATGCCATTCTGTATGAAACAGATTTGCTATTAGTATTCTGTGAGAGTCTGCTTTACACTTGAGTCTTTTTTTCCACATAAGAAGATTATATTTTGGGATATTTCTTTACTCAATATTAATTTAAGCAAAAATAAAAGTCTACAGCATCCTGACAAGCTGAATTCCCAATAGGGGAAATTCATTGGAATAAAAACCACAAAGTATTAATTGGATTTCTATGTTTCACATAAGTTAAAATGCATTTTACTTTAAAAGGCCCAGAGCTATATTGTTTATAAATATTGAAACTTAAGAAAGAATGTACACAAAGTTATTTGGAATTGCTTAATTCTAAGCTATTTTTTAAAATAGTTATAGGATTGATGTACTAGATTGTGTTATTGCCTCATTTTTTATTTTCTTTTTTTTGTATAAATACCCATTCTTTTGAGGTGTAAATTTTTCAGTGGCTCCCCCTGTCCCATTGATGCCAGACATGTCAGCATATCACGGACATGAAGTGCTGGTGTACCTGATGAGATTAATATTGTTGGTTTTTACTCCTGAACTCTGTTGCTGAACCGAGAACATAATACACCCCAGATACTAATTGAAACTGACAGTTTTCTTCAGCCCGTACCCTAAAAAGAGACATGAATTTCACTGAGCAGCCCAAGATCAGGAAAGCCACAGCTGAACTTCAGATCATTGTGTGAACCCTTTTTTTGAGAAGTATACAAAATAAAATTTTTGTAGAAAGATACTGAAACTTTATAGGTTATTTTTTCCTAACACAAATTGCTTATACAGGTGATTTAATATAAATTTCTTTTTAGTTATAAAATATCACTTCTGTGAGACTATTTTTTTCAATGTTATCAACCTATAAGGTCACCACATTTTCAATGTTTTTTCTTTTTATCTTCTCTCTTTCACTGACTAAATAACTGTTTTCTCTATATAGGCCAATACCTTAGAAAGACCTAACACTTCTAGAGCATTTTAAAGATAATTATTTTTTGGTAGTTATGAGTATTAGAAAGTTGAGAGAAAACACTGGAAATATGTGATAACTCATTTTTATTTTTAATATGATTCTATGAATAGTAATAATCTTTATTTCAAATTACATTCTTTATATAGTATCTGAAATCCATTTCTGATACATCTCATTAGAAATGAACAGCAGTAGTTACATTCTTTTCAGTAATAAATCACCAATACTTTACCTGTTTCTAGAGGCACAAGTTTGAAAGAGGAATTCATCAATATATGAGATGCTATTTTAAGTTTTAATGAGTACAGTTTTGTGAAACTTAGCTACCTCACAAGAGCAATAAATATTTAATCAAATTGAGATGGGAAAGAGTAAAAAGCTACATGTATTCCTTGGGGAAAGATGAAATACAAATTGATAGGAAGATAAAACCATATCTATACATTAAAATCTTTTTGTAAAGATACTTGGATTTACTTATCAGTCGTTTACAGTTTTGCTTAGGGATTTGCTAAAATCAGCTATAGTTCCAAGGAAAACAGTAATTATTTTATTGAAACAAAAAAAATCTTGAAATACCCTGGACATGTAATATTTCTTTCCATGTTTATAATTGTGAGAAGTAGCATGACTTCAACACAGGAATAGCACTACATAAATGCATGTGGCTTCAGTGAATGGCAGGGGTAAAATTGTTCACTCTGCATGCAGGGGCTCATTTACAAGGTCCATTGCTGTCTGCACAGCTCATTTAGAATTTTGGGCTCCCATGTTGCAGCTTAGTAGAGAAAATACATATTATTTTTAAATTATCAGTTATATAAAGATATAGATTACGCACATTCATATCTCTATATCTATACATCCGTTTATCTTTCTCTCTATATAATGTCTCCTTATATTAGTACAAAGTATTAATTTTTTAGTATATTTCAAAGAGTAATTACGGTAATGCCCATAATTATCTAAGTTAAGCACAATATTAACAGGAGCAGCACTACATTTTTCTGTATACTGAAACCCTTTGGGAATTTTTTTTTTTAGTTCCTAGAGGGAAAAGTTGAAGATTTTAAAGCATCTTGTAGTCAGTTTCTTTTTAATATAATTTTGGTCAATAAATTGGTTTACTTTACATTTTAAATTTTTCCTATGTCAAGTTTATTTTTTCATGCCTGATTACTGTATTTCTGGAAAGACACAAACATAGAACTTTCCCACAGAATCTTTTCACAAATTCATTATTTCTAAACTTTTTTCTCTTTTTAGTAAACAATTTCTTAAACACATGTCACACAGCCCAATTTATATTTACCATGTTATTTAGGTTTTTTGGCATTGAATCACCACTGTTTTCCCTATTTCCTTTTCAAAAGTGACAACTGGACCTGGATGTTTCTAATAGGCTCACCATTCCATGTAGCTTAGGTCCCATTCATTTAAAAGTTCAGTAAACATGAAGGCAGAAAATAAGTCAGAGGCTATTTTTTCACCTTAAGCACCCCCATCTTAATGTGACATAGGTAGGTGATCATTTCTAGCCAGATGAATGAACTTTCCTACTCTACAGGCTTCTGTACTTACATTCCAGGAACACAAAAATGGAGAGTACTGATTATTGCAGAACTGATAGGACTAACGCCACAAATTTGCTTTCAAGTTTTAAGAGCTAATTTTCAAAATGAAATGGGCTGAGGACAGTTATTCTCATGACTAAATATTAAATAATTATAAAAGAATACTGATAATTCCTAGGTATAGATAGTAATAATAAAGCCAACTTTCCTATTTGTAGTCTCAGTTTAATACAAACCAGCTACTGTCCTTAACTTTAAAGCATATTTTATATACATATTTATCAATTAACCCCAATGATCTGCCTTTTCTCAGGTAATTAAGCCATGTGAAGAAATGATATTACTCATAAAACAATGGAATTCTCTTGATGTCTTTCAGAATTGGCATTAATGGCATTTAAGTTTATGTAAAATGTGTCCATTGAAGCTTTTTTCTATCTCTACTTCTGCATACATATAATATGACTAATGTTGTTATGAATTACGTTAAATCACTTTCCATCATAGTTTTTTTGCTATGCAGAATTGAATAATTTTAAATTGGAGACATAATATAATTTGCTTAGTATATTATTAACATATTATTTGTATTATAAAACTAGCATTAATCTACAGTGATTTCTTTTATCTCAAATTTCCTCTGTGAATGTCCAATATACAGTATGCCTTCAAGACTCATTTTTAACAATAAAAATACAATTAATATATCATGGGTAGTATTATATTTGTCTACATACAATTTGGTCAAAATATGCTTACAATAAATGTAAAAGTAGACAGAATGCAAAATTTTATATATGCCACACTACCTAATTTTGAATTTGGCATGAAATTTTACACACAATGTTGTCCCATCTATTTATTTTACAAATAATTATTGAATTTGTGCCACGTGAAATGTACTGTTTTAGATTTTGGAGTTATTGTAATTAAATGTTTAAAACATTTCTAGCTTTATATTCTTTTCAAGCAAAATGGTGTTTAAAAGTATTTAAAATTAGGATTGATTCAGACATCATCAAAGTAAATTTTGAAACCATCAAAGTATTCCCTAATATTTTTAATTGAAATCAGAGATAATAAATTACTTTTATCAGATATATTTTATTATTTGTTTAAACATTAATTTTAGATTTATATAAAATAAAACTATACATGTTGCAATTAAGCAATTAAAAATGTCAGTTCTAAGTGGAGATTTAAAAATGTTTACTTATAATTTCTTCTCTGAGCTTTCCAAAATATTTTCCACTTCTTTAGTTCATGCATCACTCACATTGTGAGTTGTTATTTAGCTCATCGTTGAACAAAGACCTACCATTATAAAAATATATGTAAAATTCTACTTCCTACTGAAGTATTACAGTTAGAATTATTATTGAATAATACCCTTTTCTGTAATAAAATACATAATCATCTTGGAGTCTATTAGATAGATTTTTCAATCTTCTAATCTGAAAAATTTCCCATATATTTTATTTTGTCTGAGGGAAAATTTTGACATCAGTCTTGCCATCTTTTCTGCACTTTTGCTTTCTTATCTATGAGTTGCTAACCACCTAACAAATTCTGAATTTATTTGATTTAATTTTAAATAAATCCAGGACTGTAGTATAGTCATTATGCACACAGGGTTTTAAGCCAGACAACTGGGAGCAAACTGAGATTTTAAAACTAACTAGATATTCCACCTTGAATAAGTCATTTGACTCTCCCATGACTCACTCAACTGTTCACAGGGGATACAAATGAGAATAAAATCTACTTCAAAAGATTATTCTGAAATAACTGAAATTTGTTTATATGAGTACTTAGGAAAGTATTTTGCACATATAAATAGATAATACAAGGAATAAATTTTAATCTAGTTGAATACATCAACAATGGATATTGAAATAATAAGACAAACAAAAATCTCATCAAAGCTGTATCAAGAGAACATTAATCTTGCAAAAGTGATGGTTAATGGTGTGAATTATGTTGGCTTAAATGTTCTAGAAACTGTTAGAATGCACCTTAGCATACAATTTAGAACTAGATTCAATGATTCTTCATTACTTAAAATGAACAATATGTTTTCTACTCACTTTAATGGGCAATTATGTTTAATATATAAATGTTAACTTTATAGTGTTTATAGCTCTCATGCAATAAAAATGTCTAAACTAAATTTTACTCTATATTACAGGGGGAAGTTCTTGCTTGACATATTTAATTTCAAGATAGTATATCAGTTAAGGTAGCAAAATAAGTTTTAATGTACTAAGCTCTGTAAATTAACAATGACAAACTAATTATGATGGTAGACGCATTGCCCTGACAAAGGTTATTCTGGCACTCTGTAAATCTGTAGTTAATAAATTCTTGTAATTTAGATTACAAGTCAATAATAGAAAAATCACTTACTGTTTTATTATTCACCTCCCCGCCCCCATTATTGAGTTGTTCCACACAGCTTCAGCTCCCCTAAACATCTGTCTGCTCTTCAAACATACCAAGGATGCTCCATTTGAACTCTCTACAACTGCTCCTCTTACAGTGAGAATCTTCTTTCCCCAGATTTTGAATGTTTTGCTCCTTCACATCAATCAAAAATATTTGCTCACTTTCATTCTTATCCATGTGCCAGAAGTCAATAATTACTCTACCATAATTATTCTATAAACCGGGATTATTATTGCAGCAAAATTATATCTGCCAAGGAGGATTTCATATAAATAAATGTTTCTCAGTCATCATTCTAGATAATATTGTAAATGTCTATTAAAATTAAGTGTTCACTGTTCATAAAGCTTAAGTTACCTTAAACAATTTTTTGGTAGAGAATTTCTTAATATGTTCACAATTAAACGGTTAATGTGCCTAAATTTTCAAATTTGTACAGACAGAATACTTCCTTTCAGAAAGCAATTACATTCAACAATGTTTACAACAACTATAAGGAAACATATATCAACCATTGAATAAAGCGTAGGAAAGTACATTCAAATGGCTATTAATCTGGGATGATATACAAAGGGTATAATTCAAGCCTTTTTAGACATATAGAGTTATAATCTCTTCTCTTTATAATGTCATAATGTCATGATAGTTTAAATGGCATATGTTAACCATAGTTAATAAAACAATTCAAAAACATAGATAAAGGCTATAACATTCAACAATGTTTAGAACAACTATGGGGGAACCCTCTCAGAATTAGAAAAAAATAATGGATTAGTGTCTTGTCTAAGGGACAACATTAATTATATAAGAAAAATTGTGTTTTGTTTCAAAATTTATCTCTTGCTGGATTTAAAAAATATTTAAATGAAGATTATTACTAAAGAGGTAGCAGCTTTTTATGGTTTAATATGTTTTTAAATAATGAAAATTATCCTTTCTAATAGCTCAGTTTCAAACACTATATTCTTTAATAAAGAAGAGAACACATTTCAAAAAGTATGTCATATCAAAAAAAATTGTCCACTCAGACTCCACAATAGGTACAAAGTCAGAGTAAAATGCCATACAGCCACCAAAACCTAAATGCATTTTCTGATCTACATCTAGTGACATTTTTTGATGTTATTTACTATGACTGTTCGTCTAATTTACTTATCTTGTATTAGTTATCTACTAGTGCATAAAAACTTGCCCCCAAATATCAGTGGATTTAAACAGCACACATGTATTATCTTAAAATCTGTTGGCCTAGAATCCAGACAGTTCATCTGGCTGCTCTGTTTCAGGTTTATTCACACAGTTACCATCAAATTGTCAGCCAGGGCTAAGGTCGCATCTGAAGATGTGATTAATGAAGGATCCACTTATAAGCTTACTCATGTGCTTTTTTTCAGAATTCAGCTTCTTGGAGCTGGTGAACTGTGGATATCAGTTTATTGCTATCTATTAGCTAGACTGTGCTCAGTCTCTTGCCACATGGTCCTCGCTATTGCTCTGTCCACATGATAGCTTGCTTCATCAACACAAAGATGACATCTCACGTACACAAACAAAAATAGAGAGAGAGAGAGAATCACAGTCATTTAAAATCTAATCTTGAAAGTGGCATCTTATCACTTTTGCCACATTATATTTATTCAAAGCAAGTTACTAAACACAGCCCTCAATCAAGTAGAGGGGATTACACAGGTCATAAATACAGGAGGCAGGGATGATTGAAAGTCATTTTAGAAGAATGTTCAAAGTAACTAAAAGTGGAACTACCATTTGATCTGGCATTCCCACTGCTGGGTATATACCCAGAGGAAAATAAGTCATATAAAAAAGACACTTGCACACGCATGTTTATAACAGCACAATTCGCAATTGTGAAAATATAGCACCAGCCTAAAGGCCCATCAACCAATAAGTCAATAAAGAAAATGTGATATATATACCATGGAATTCTACTCAGCAATAAAAAGGAATGAAATAATGGCATTCACAGCAACCTGGATGGAGCTGGAGTTATTATTACTCTAAGTGAAGTAACTCAGTAATGGAAAACTAAACACTGTATGTTCTCACTTATAAATGGGATCTAAGCTGTGAGGACTCAAAGGCATAAGGATGATATAATGAACTCTGGGGACTCAGGGAAGAGTGGGAGAGATGTGAGGGATAAAAAACTACACATTGGTTACAGCGTACACTGCTTGGGTGATGAGTGGATAAAAATCTGAGAAATCACCACTAAACAACTTATCCAGGTAACTAAACACCACCTGTTCCTTCAAAACTATTACAATAATAATATAAATAAATAAGTAAATAAATAGACATCTGTTGAAAAAAAAAAAAGAATAATGTTGCCCTCAGCTTCAGCTCCTCTAAACATCTGTCTGCTTTTCCACCACATCAAGGATGCTCCCACTTGAAGTCTACAACTGGTCCTCCTACTGTAGGAATCTTCTTTCCCCAGATTTTGAATGTTTTGCTCCTTCATATCAATGAAGAGGTTACTCAAATTTTACGAGATCACAGACCTTCCTAGAATATCATACTTAAAATAATATCTAACATGGTATTTGCCAATTCCAACCATTGCTTCACTCTTTCTTGTACCATGTCATAGTTGTACAGTACTTAATATCATCTTACATATTTTACATTTACCTAAAACAGCAACTCTAAGAGCATAGAGAACAAAATGACTAAATGAACAAATGAAAGAAAAACCTTTAACAATAATCAGTCTGGGATGTTATACAAATGGTATAATCCAAGCATTTTTATAGAAAGTTAACATCTTTTCTCTATTCTTTGTAATGTCAAATCTTCATGATGGTTTAAATGTTATATGTTAACCATAATGAATGCAACAATACAAACACACAGATAAATTTTACTCCTGAAAACTTTTCACAGTGAATCAAATGCAAACAGTTATAAAACTGTATGTAGAATTATTATTTGATTACACATGTAAGAAAGGTAAATATGAAGATAGATGTTCTTGAAATGGCTTATCTGGAAGTTATATCATGTTTGCTTGCTTTTAATCGTCTGTGTTTTCTATCCTGCCTAGAAAATGTATCATGTTGCACCGGGTATTGAAATTAATAATGTGTACCGTTAGTAGTCTTAAAATTATTTTACACGTTTTACTTGTTATAATTTTTTGTATGATATAAAATGGAGGAGAATAAAAAAGAAATATGAAAATAAAATTTTAGAATAATACTTATCAAATATCCTTTATGTCCTGAGTATTATATTATGTATTTTATATGCATTATCTCTTTTAAATAAAACCACAAAATTTAAATAAATATTACCTTCCTTAAGTTTGTGAAGAAATTGGAGTTTGAACAAATTGAGATTTCTTTTTCCAATCTGGTAAAATAACACAATTTTTTTATATGTTACTTTATTAATATACTAACTACCTGTATTAGTCAGGGTTCTCCAAAGAGACTGAATCAATAGGATAGATAGATGATGGATGGATAGGTGAATAGATAGATAGATAGATAGATAGATAGATAGATAGATAGATAGATAGATAGATGATAGATAAAGAGGGGATTTATTAGGTAAATTGGTTCACGTGATTATGGCGGCTGAGACGTCCCACAACACACTGTCCACAAGCTGGGGAACCAGAGAAGTTGGTAACGTGGCTCAGTCCAAGTCCAAAATCCTCAAAATCAGAGAATCTGATATGTAACTCTCAGTCTGAGGCCAAAGGCCTGAGAACCTGGGAGAGGGAGGGGAATTGGTGCAAGTCCAAGAGTCCAAAGGCCAGAAAGCTGGAGTTCTATTGTCCAAGGGCAGGATCCTGAAGAAGGTATCTCAACTCCAAGAGAAAGAAAATTTCCCTTTTTTTTTTGTTTGTTTTATCTTGCCTCCAGCTGATTGGATGGTGCCCACCCACATTGAAAGTAGGCCTTTCCTACTCAGTCCACTGACTCACACACCAATCTCTCCCAGAAGCACCCTCATAGACATACCCAGAAATAATGCTTTATAAGCTATTCAGGTATCCCTTAATCCAGTCAAGTCGACATGTAAAATTTGCCAGTACAGTACCTAATATTGTTATATCTCTATTGACTTTTTTATAACATTGAATTTATAATTTATTCAGAAAATTGTTGTTAAACTAAAATATGTCAGCCATTGAATAAAGCATAATAAAGTTAATTATAAATTGAATAAATACTCCAATGAAAAGAAAACAATTTTCAACTTGAATAATGAAAACCAAACTTTAAACTTTTTTAAAGAAACACATTTAAATATAAAGATACTGAAATGTGATCAAAGATGAAATAATGAAAAAGGATGCAATACATTTATTGGTTAGAGTCTAAAAGCAATAGGAAATGACCCAATATAATCACAAATTTAATATTAAAAATTCTTAACTAGGTATAAGCCTATTAATTGGTTAATTTGATAAAACAAACAGTGAACAAAGATGTATCCCAGAATTGGTAGCTGCTAGAAGGATCAAATCTCTGCACCTTTCATGATAGAAAGATTCAAACATGATAAGCCCACCATCACATGACAGTCTGATCTCCCTGAAAAATGGGGGCCCAGGATTTTTATCTGCTTTGAATGGATTAATCAAGAGGTGGCAGTTAGCTTTGGTGAGGAAAAATACAGTTTCAGCCCTTGCATCCTTATTAACATGACCACTTTTTACATAGGCATATTGAGTGAGCCCAACATAATTGGAGAAACAGGGTGTTGTTCTGCCATATAATGAGTCATTTTATTCACCTGATTATTCATCATTCACAAGAGACACAAATATGTATACATTAATTCTATTCTGAGAGGTCTACCCACATACCGTTTTCCCACAGCTCTTTGCTGTATATCTTTTAAACTTATTCTTTCCAATAAACAGATCATCCAATGGTTCAAGAATTAGTGTACATCCATAATTGGGGCCGTCTTTTGGTTTAGGTAAATGATATTTTTGTGTGTGTTCATTATTATATTATTAAATAAAAAATAAAATTTAGAAGGGTCCTTTAATAAATTGTATAATGGACCAAGTATTATGATTAATCTGGTTTCATCAACTTAAGGTACAATATAGGAATTTAAGAAAAAAAACTATCTGTAAAGAGGTTTGTCTGTAAAGAGGACATCGTTAAAAATATGCTTTTGTTCAAACAATAATTTAGCTTGCAAGCATCAGAATGATAATTATATTTTAAAATGTTGCCTTAGCTCATTGCTTTTGTTTTACAACCGCTGTCATTTCAGTCAGACTTCAAAATCTCTAAGAAACAAGATGATTAATGTAAATCAAGTGCCCACTGATTTGAAGAGATTTTTTTAGACCATAAGCTGTGTTTTTTCAATAGTGTTTTTTTTCTTCAGAATGTCATGAGCATAATTGTTTGAAATTTTTGGCTGATGCCAAATTGTAAAAAGAAAAAGAGAAGAGTCTTGCTCTCTAACAAGAGGATGTGAGCTGTAGAGGGCGAGGTGACTTTGCAGACAATGGGTAGACCTTTCAACCTGCCAAATGATCAACAACTTACAACTTCATTGGGTCAGAACCCCATAGCTGAACTCAGTGACTATCTCTTTCCTTGCAGCCATTCATGAAATGCTTTATGACAGCTTGTTTTCATTACTGAACATTGATTTAGGCCATTTTCTTTAAAAATGTAATAATCTTGGAACTTATTCATAAAGAGCTTTCAAAGGGCCCTGAATACAAATGAATCTTCAATTAATGCTACAGGCTTTGATTCAAAACTTTATTATAAAATGAATAGCATTCAGTAATCATGCAAATTTATGTGAAATTTCTTATTTTTTTCTGGCTTTTAAGTTCTCAGCAATTGTTATGTTTTCCTAAACTTTCCTTAAATTAAAAACAAGTTGAATATTCCCTGACCCATCAGTAAAATAATAATGAAAGTTGTCATAAAGAACAACACAGGGTAAGAGGACAAGGTATTATTGCTGGCCCCACTTTTCTGTAAGTGGATTACAAAACAGAATTTTTAATTTGTTTTGTATGATTTTACATATTGGAAGGTCCTAGTAGAAAGTCTTACTTAATATTTAGTCTGAGGAACTGCTCATTTTTAATATCTGTATTTGAGTTGACATAGCAAATTATAAAGAAACACAGCTTTGTCTTAACATCTAAGAAGAAAAAGTTTGCAAAAATTGTTGATAAATTGTTTTTAACTGCATAGTTCTAAGAAGTCTGTTTTATATTTGTGATCACTTAAAGTTATTTTACGTGTTCATGGGACATTTGGATATCCTTATCGTTGTGGAGTGCTTGTTCAGAAACTATGTTCTTTTTCCATAGGGCTGATCGATGTCATTTTCTCATTATTCATAAGAACTATTTAAAGTACATAAATTGCTATGGGTATAAATTGCTCTTCGATGCATACATACATAGGTGATATGAAACCTGCTATATATAAATTCATATACGTATAATCAGTCATATTCATTAAGTTGTCTCCTATTTTAGTCTTTTTATGGTGAATTTTGATAAAGTTCTTAGTTCTAAAGTAGTTCAGATTACCAGGCTCTACGTGTAATGAAAACACTTTCTCACCTTTGTGGTCTGTTTAAGAAACTCGAAGCAATAAGAATATTTTTCTATAGCTTTTTCAAAAAGCTTTATTGTCTCACTATGTACATTTTGAATTATCATCCATATAAGACATTGTCTCCATACGACGAGGTAGAGGTCAGAATTTTTTTTCTTGGATACTCAATCTTTCCAGCATCATTAATCAAACAGAAACTTGCCATGTATTATAACTTTCATTATTAATTGAATATTTTTAAACGTGTGGAATTTTATTTTAAGTCTCTATTCTGCTCCACTATTATTGCACTAGAATTAGATTGCTAATATTCATTTATGTTTACATTATTACATATGAATAACAAATTTTCTTTTATTTTAAAGTTTATGCTTTTGAATGATGAATGTGGAATTCTCATTAAATGATTTAAAGTGTTTTCTATTATTGTATTCCTTGCAAGAATTGATACATGATTTTTTTTTTTTTTGGTCTTTCTTAGATGCTTGGAAGGAATTCAAGAGTCTGTAAGATCTTTGAAATACTTTTTAGAAATTGCGCAAATACAAATTTATATTTTTTAACAAATATGGAAATTTCAAGGTTTTCCACTATTTTTGTGCAATCGTCAGTAGTTGTTCTTGTCTAACAATTCTGTCATTGAATCTGTATTTCAAAATATACAGGCACAATTTTTTATAATAACTTGATTGCATGTTTAAATCTTTAAGATCTACAGTGACATTCCCCTTTTTTTCTGTTCACTATAAGTTATCACCTTTTACTAAATACTGTTGCTAAGTATGTATTATTTTCATGAGGCTTTTGAGAGATCTGAATTTTTATTTTATTGATTCTTTGCAATATATATTTATTTTCCATTTTACTAATTTCTGATATTCTATTTTTTGCTTTTATATTGATTCACTTTGCATTTAATCTGTGATTCCTCTTCAAACTTCTTTGGAGAGATTCATTTATTTCATCACATTTTTCTCATTTTGCATGTGGATTTATGACTATACATTTTCTTTAAGTTTAATTTTAGCTTAAAATCATATATTGAGAATTCTCATTTTGTTTGTTTCATATTTTTCTCATTGGATTATTTATTTGATTTGTGTTACTTACAGAATTATTACCAGGTTTCCAGAAGTGATTTTTTATTCATCATTTTGTTATTAATCTCTCAGAAGGAGTTTTATGACTCATTCTTTATTCTCTTAGTTATAATAAGACACACAATTCTCTTCCTGTTCTTTTACATAAAAGATGTAAAAGTAAGAAAATAATAATTTATATTTTAAATATAAAATAAATATTTGATTATATAAAATCCCCAAAATTACAAATATTAAACAATTCTTCCAAAATCTTATCTCAGAGGACTTTCAAATTTTCAGGTGATTTTTTTTTTACAAAAATGTTTAAGTAAAATTAAATCTTAATTACTTTAGATTAATTACAATAAAAATAAATATAAAAGCACCTCCACTTTGGCTCAAATATCAGATATCTTAGTTGGTATAAATTTAAAACTCTTTCTTCAATAGTCATTACGTTCATATTTTATTGATTATAAAACTTATACAACAGAAGACCTTTACATTCATCATCTTGGGAAAATAGTGCAGTGTTATACTTAATTTAATTGTTAAAATGCTTGAAGATTTATTTTTAGTAGCTCTTATCAACCATCATGAATCAATCATAATAAATTAGAATTAACTTACCACAATAAACAAACGAAATTTCCCACACAAAATATAAAACAACAGTTTCCGCTGGAGAGGGCATTGAAGAAGATTCAGCACAGACTGTGATCCCCAAAAGAAAGAAAACTATTGAAGTGAGCTCTATGGTGATTTTCTGCCTAGAAACACATTTTGGTTCATGGGATGGGGAGTAAGACATGGTGGTCCTATTTACTTGATAGGACAAAGACCACATTTTGTGAAGAATGACTGTAATCTGTTAGGCATATAACACAGAGAAGGGTGACATGCAATGAAGGAGCTCCAGAAATCAGTATGATGTTCTCCTTGAACTTATGCTAAATACTAAGTTATTGTGAAATTCCACCTCCATACCATTGTTTGCTTACTTCACTCGTATTCTCTTTCTCTCTCTCTCTCTTCTTTTTTTTTTTGTTGTTGTTTTTGTTTTTTTTGAGATGGAGTGTCGCTCAGTTGCCCAGGCTAGAGTGCAGCGGTGCAATCTCGGCTCACTGCAAGCTCCACCTCCCAGGTTCAAGTGATTCTCCTGCCTCAGCCTCCTGAGTAGCTGGGATTGCAGGTGCCCGCCACGACATCCGGCTAATTTTTCGTATTTTTAGTAGAGATGGGGTTTCACCATGTTGGCCAGGCTGGTCTTGAACTCCTGATGTTGTGATAAGTCTACCTAGGCCTCCCAAAGTGCTGGAGTTACAAGTGTGAGCCACTGCATCTGGCCGTTTTCTTTCTTATTATTAGTTATTATGCCCTACCATCCATAGTAGGGATGCTGAAATTAGACAAAGTCTATAAAATGCTATTATTAACATGATTACTGCACTAATGTGTGTAAAAAAAAGCTTAGTTTTAAGAGAAATATCTATCATTTTATTTTTTATTTAAAAGCAATTATTTTATGGTAAATTGATGATTTATAACTGTATAAATATATGGGGTACAAAGTGATGTTATGATTTATAAATATAATGTGGAATAATTAAAGTCAACACATCTGTAACCTCAAATATTTAACAATTTTTTGCAATAAGAACATTGAAATTTACCACTCTTAGCAATTTTTAAATGTACAATATTATTACTAACTATATTCACCACGCTGTGCAACATAACTCAAAAATATATGCACTTTCTGCCTGAGGTTTTGTATTGACCATCATCTCAATACATTTTGAAGCAAAAATAACAATGTATTTGAAGTTTCTAACACACGCAAAGTATTATCTAACAGCTAGAGTATAACTGACAGAGAAGAGAAATAAAAGACCCTTGTTTTATTGTCTTATATTAAGTTAGGAAAATATTAATTGAAGGTATGGTAAGATAAATATGTAAATGTTAAATTATAGGTTAAAAATGAAGAAATAAATTACATATTGTGAGGTAGTAAAAAATGTAATAGAAAAAATTAAATGGAATCCTAAAGATATATATATATATATACACATATATATATATATCCTAAATATATATATATATATATTGTATGGGTAAAACTATATCCCTCCAAAATTTATATGTTGATGTTGTAACCCTCACTACCTCAGAATGTGACTGTATTTGGAGATAGATTATTTAAAAAGGTAAGTAAATTTAAATAATGTCATTATAGTGGGCCCTAATCCAATATGACTGATATCCACGTAAGTAAAAATAAGAATACAAACATGCCCAGAGGTAAGATCATGTGAAGACACAAGGAGAAGA
The DNA here is from genome assembly GCF_000001405.40 of Homo sapiens. Classification (NCBI taxonomy): domain Eukaryota; kingdom Metazoa; phylum Chordata; class Mammalia; order Primates; family Hominidae; genus Homo; species Homo sapiens. The sequence continues at coordinate 23,597,690 of NC_000005.10, forward strand.
TGGATGTCTACAAGCCAAAGAGAGAGGCCTCAGAAGAAACCAGTGCTGCTGACACCCTGATCTCAGACTTCTATCCTCCAAGACTAGAAGTAAATTTCTGCTGTTTATGCCACCTAGTCTATGGTACTCTGTTATGGCTGCCATAGCAAACTAATACAGTATTCATTCAAAAAAAGTCAGGAGGAGAGGGAAAAATAGAAAAAGAATGGATGGTTACACTGAATAATAATAGCAATAAGGTCAAATAAATAATATCAATATTTACATTACTTATAAATGTAGTAAACACTAATTGGAAAGCAAAGATTTTTAAATTGGAGAAAAATGAACACCCCAAAATGTGTGGTTTTCAAGAACACCACATTAATTAAAAATACACATATTTAAACATAAAATAATGGAAAATATATATTGTACATAATCATAAATAAGCTGGAGTGCCAACATATTATAAAAAATACATTTTAGCTTTTTCCAAATTACACAGGATTTGAGAGGCAGTCATGTTAAGTGGGTGAATTCATCAAGAAAATCAACAACACTAAATATTCAAGCACTTAGACTTATAAATACAGAAACAAAAACTAATAAAATTGTTTGAAGGAATGGAAAAATTCACACAGCTAGCTGGAAATTTTAATTGTCCCCCCTCAATAATGGATAAAACAAATGGATCAAAAATTAATATATGTAGCTGAGCTTGGTGGCTCAGGCTTATAATCCCAGTGCTTTCGGAGGAAGGCTGGGATAGGAGGGTCTCTTAGGGTCAGGCATTTGAGACTAACCTAGGCAACATAGCGAGATATTGTCTCTACAAAAATTTTTTAAAATTCTCTCGGCATGATGTTGCCTGCCTGTGTCCTAGCCACACCTGAGGCTGAGATGGGGGACAGCCTGACCCCAGGAGTTTGAGGCTGCAGTGAGCTGTGATTGTGCCATTACACATCAGCTTGAGTGACGGGGTGAGACTCTGCTGTGAAACAAACAAACAAACAAAATTAGTATAGGTATAGAAATCTTGAACAACATTTTAAAATAACATGACCTAATTGACATTTGTAGAATATTCCACCCAATGATATCAGAATAAGCAAACTTTTTTAAGAAAACAAATGATATTTACCAAGACTAGACTATATGATGTTCAATAAAATAAGCTTCATTAAATTTTTTTAACTTGAAATAATGTAAAGTATATTCTTTTCCAACAATATTCTATGACAGAATAATTAAAAATTAATTACCACAAGATATCTGGGATAAATCTTAAATAGTTTGATATTAAATAAGACATGTTTAATCCAAAGTTAAAGAAGAAATTACAAAATAAATTAGAATGTATATTGAACTAAATATAAATGAAAAAACATCAAAATTTAAGTCATAGAAAAGAATGGTCCCCAAACAATAACCTAAATTTTTGCCTTCAGGCACTACAAAAGCAAGAGCAAATTAAAGCACTCTACATAAAAGGAAGCAAACTAAAGCACTCTACATATATATATGTGTGTGTGTGTGTGTGTGTGTGTGTGTAATATAAATTTATTCTATATTTATATATTTTTATATATAATTTATTCTAAAAGAAAACGAGGTACATGTGCACAACGTGCAGGTGTGTTATATAGGTATACGTGTGTCATGGTGGTTTGCTGCACCTATTGACCTGCCCTCTAAGTTCTCTTCTCTCAGCCCCATCCCCCAACAGGCCCTGGTGTGTGTTGTTCCCCTCTCTGTGTCCGTGTTTTCATTGTTCAACTCCCACTTATTAGTGAGACCACGTGGTATTTGGTTTTCTGTTCCTAAAGGACATGATCTCATTTATTTTTATGGCTGCATAGTATTCCATGATGTATATGTACCACATTTTCTTTATCCAGTCTATCATTATGGGCATTTGGGTTGGTTCCATGTCTTTGCTATTGTAAATAGTGCTGCAATAGATATCCGTGTGCATATGTCTTTATAGTAGACTTCATGACAAAAACACCAAAAGCAACTGCAACAAAAGCCAAAATTGACAAATGGGATCAAATTAAACTAAAGAGCTTTTGCTTAGCAAAAGGAACTATCATCAGTGTGAACAGGCACCCTACTGAGTGGGAGTAAATTTTTGCAATCTACCCATCTGACAAAGGTCCGATATCCAAAATTTACAAGGAACTTAAACAAATTTACAAGAAAAAAAAACCCTATCAAAAAGTGCGCAAAGCATATGAACAGACACTTCTCAAAAGAGGGCATTTATGCGACCAACAAACACATGAAAAAGAGCTCAACATCGCTGATCATCAGAGCCTATTAAAACTAAAATGAGATACCATAGTATGAAAGAAGGAACGTTCTTACAATCCTTACACATTAACAGGTTAATGAGAAAATATGAACAATTTAATCTAATAGACTTAACAACATTGAAGAAACTGACAAGTTTATTCAAAAGTTGAGACTTTTAAAAAATGGCTATAGAATAGACAATCTCAAAAACCTATATCTATTATAGACTTTAAATGTTTATTTAAAATTATTCCCACAAAAAAAAGCAGTAGCCATTGATGTATTTGCTTGTGAATTTTGTCGAATACTTAAGAAAGAAATGATACTCATGTAACACAAACTCTTCAATAATATAGGGGACATTAAAAACCCTCCCAGATCATTTTATGAGGCAAGTGTTTCACTTATATCAAACGTAGACTAAGAAATACAAAGTAGAAAAAAAAATAAAGTCCTGCCAAAAAGCCTTTACAGAATTTTAGCAAATGAAATTCAGTTATATATGTAATTGAAGAAAATGGTGATTAAGTAGAGTGTATCCCAGGAATGCAAGTTGCTTTAATATTAAAAATCAATTAATGTGTCTTATGCCAGAATGGCTATCACAAAAAGTCAAACAGTAACCGATATCGGCGAAGATAAAAGGAAAACTGAATACTTACACACTGTTGGTGGGCCTGTAAGTTAGTACGACCTCTATAGAAAACAGTATGGAGATTTCTTAAAAAACTGAAAATAGAATTATCCTTCCATCCTGCAATTTCACTAGTGGTGTCTATTCAAAAGAAAAGAAATTGTTACATTAAAAATATACTGCACTCATATGTGTATCACAGCTCATATGCTATATTAAAAACATACCACACTCATATGTTTATCATGTTTATGTTTTGCTTCACAATAGCAAAGATTTAGAATTAGTCTTTAATTCTAAGTGTCCATCAATGCGTAAAAAGATAAAGAATATATGGCATATATATTTAGTTTGGTGTAAGAGTAATTGCGGTTTTTGCCATTACTTTTAATGTTATGGCAAACCACAATTACTTTTGCACCAACCTTATATATTCTATTATATATGTATTCTATTATACATGTATGTATATAATTGAACACTATTCAACTATAAAGAAGAAAAAATTGCTGCAACATGGATGAGACTGGATGCCATTATCGTAAGGGAAACAACTCAAACGGACACCTCATGCTCTCACAAGTGAAAGCTAAATAATGCATGCACATGGACAAAATGAGGAGTAATAAATGCTGGAGACTAAGAAGGCTGGGAGAGTGCGGAGGGGAAGAGGGATAAGAATTACTTAAAGGTGGCAGGTCACGGAGGCTCACGCCTATAATCCCAGCACTTTGGGAGGCCGAGGCGGGTGGATCACGAGGTCAGGAGATGGAGACCATCCTGGCTAACACGATGAAACCCCGTCTCTACTAAAAATAAAAAATAAAAATAAAAATAAAAAATAGCCAGGCCTGTTGGCACCTGTAGTCCCAGCTACTCGGGAGGCTGAGGCAGGAGAATGGCATGAACTCAGGAGGCTGAGCTTGCAGTGAGCCGAGATCGCACCACTGCACTACAGCCTGGGTGACAGCGAGACTCTGTCTCAAAAAAAAAACAAAAAAAAAAAAACAGAATTACTTAATGGGTTCACTGTACCTTATTTGGGTGATGGTTACACTAAAACACTGGGCTTTATCATTTTGCAATATATTCATGTAACAACAGCAATTATACGCCTAAAATTTATACAAATAAAAGAAAAGAGAAAAATTAATGAAGACAGTTCAACATATTAATATAATAAATGAGAAAAAATTCTTAGAATGATCTAATTATAAGTAGACATAATAACTAAATTCAGCATCTGATCATGATGCTAAATCCTAGCCAATAATGGAGTGGAACTTCCTAAAGCTATTTAGAATGCTATAAAAAGCTAGGAGCTAACATTAAACTTACTAGTGAAAGATCGACTAGTTTCTCCTGAGATCAAGAAAAATACAAAGTAATAGCTATCATTACCTATGTTCTATATATTATTGAAGATCTTGGCTATTGCAGTAAGTCAAATAAAGTAAATAAAAGCAGTACATATTGGAAAGAAGAATTATATGATCGTGCATGTAGAAAATCTTAAAAAAAGCAGAACTTGTAAGTAATTGTAGCAAAGTTACAAGTTAACACATTATTATATAAAATTCACTTATTTCTCTACAATAAAAGTAAAAAGTTGGAAAATAAAATTAAAACAATGCAATGTAGGGAAATATTTGAAAAATATAATACTTTAGGATAAATATAACCAAATATGTGCAATAAATGAATATTGAAAATTAAGAAGCATTACTGAATAAAGTTAAAGAATATCTAGATTAAGGAAAAGTTTATATAAATACCATAGTTATGAAATCAAGTCAGTATAAATAAAATGTCAGTATTCCCTACATTAATCTATAAATTTCATGCAATCCTAATCAAAATTCTAGCAGGCCAGTTTTTAAAAATTCTATACCATGAACAAGTTAAATAGATACCAAATTAACTGTTTTTGTGTCCATTTTGACCTCATTAAACAAAATAAAATTGCTAAAAAATCTTAATTATCAAGACCTATTTCTTATTAACTCCTCTGAGGATGGCACGTGCAATTAGCCAAGTTCTACTGCTTGTGTTAAAGCAAATCTGGGCTAGTTCATAAAAGCATTTGTGAAAGGACAATTAACAACCTTAACTTTCCTTCTCAGCTAGAGCTGCACAACATGCTCTACATAGTGTGTTTATTAAATGATGCTTTGACTTTATTAGTAAAAAACAAGAAAAAATCTATCGAGAATTAAAATATATTCCAAGGGAGTTCAGTCACATCACTACTGATGCCAGCCCCATGTAATGGAAGAGAAGCTCGCTGAATTACATGGACATTCTGTCTTAGGATGAGAGGAGGAAGTTGCTTCTAGTTTGTTCATTGGCCACTGTGAGAACCCAGGCATTGCGGTTTCCTAGTTGGATAATCTACAGGTATGTGGTAGGAAAGAGCAGCCGCTGAAACACCCACCCTTTCGCCTCCATATATCCGCCTGGGATGGAAGCCATGGAGGCCCAGTGATTCTCTCTCAGATCTGCCCTGTTCCAATCCTTTTATTATATGGTATGGACCCTACGTGTCTTACTTGATGAGGTCCTTCTCAGCTTCTCTGCCCTGCCCCAGCCTTTGACGATCTGCGACCTTGCGTCACATGATAAACACCTGGTCACCTGTGAATGGGCTTCTCCAAGCCCTCCTGTCCTGCCTTCTGCCTGTGGTGCGCAGAAGCCACACACCGCTGAAAGCTCTGGGAAAGAACTGGCTGGTGGACTTGGACATGCTATATGTACCGGTCTCAGAATCTCACCCTTCACAACAAGCTATTTGTGGCTTTAAAAAGGGCACTAACGTGTTTGCCCCTCTGCTCACCCAGTGACCACAGTGATGAAAGTTGCCACAGATTTCTGTTCGAGAATCTGCACATCTCATTTAAAATGTATTGATTTATTTAGGCTTCTTTGAGTCTTCATCATTCCAATGGTAAAAATAAACAGATACATACACACATATATTTATAAAAATAAGATTTTGCAAATTATATTGCTTTTACTCTTTGTTAGAATGAGAGGATTGACTCTTGCAACGTTGTTATTTCTAACCAAAACTGTAAAATTCTTATTAATGCTCTCATTTCTGTGTATTGGAATTTGAAGTTAAAATGTGTGTGCACATGCGCACATACACCCCCCCATATTTTCATTATATAACACACCTATATTTTAATTATATATACAAAATATCCAGAACAATATAAAATTTTCTGTATAATTTTGTCCATGTCCTTCCTCCAGCGTTTAAATCGAGTACCCTTCATTTATTTTATGTATGTACATATGTGAACATATTAAACTCTCCTGGAATTTCTTAAGGAATATTTTAAATTATGCTCGTTATCTTTACTAGTCTCATAATACTATGATTCCAAGATGATACTATCTAATTCAGAAAGCTGTATATAATTATTTAGTCTTAAAAGCTTGAATCAAACATCAATTAAAATTAATTTACTAGAAATTCAGGATTGGATTTTTAAGATAATTGAAAGAAACAAAGTCACCTTTCTTGAACAAATCTGATTCTGAAACTTCTTTCATTAAATATACGCTTCATTTTTCTCTGTAATTTGCTTAAGTAAACATGATAGACACAATTATTTTGGCAAGACAAATACAATCAACTTCATTTTAGTAATCTTCCGAAATTTTTAGTGGTCACTTTCAAGGAAGAATTAGAGGATTTTGGAAAGAATTGACAGATGACATTCTGCAAAATGCCTTTATCAAATGGCTTGCAAGATTAAGATGGAGTATTTATTAGTTAACCCACACACAGCAAGCAGAGGGGAGTGGAAATTCATGATGTACGGGATGTCCTGCCAACACTGCACGGGATGGTCTACACATCTCTGATTGCAATAACACAACCAGTCTGATAATATTCTGTACATGGACTCATAGCATATTTTATGGCTTACAAAATAATAGTCAAATGCTAATAAATAATTGACTTGAAAAAACTGAGGACATAATATAAAAGTAATACTATTTATTTTATTCATTGCTCTAAAATAATTTTATAAATTTGTCTACTCATGTTCAGCAGTGGAGTTCTGAGATTAATTTTATTTTCCTTTCATAAGTCAAGACAATGGGGAATTTTAATTCTGTAAAGACTCAACATCCTTCCTCTCCACTTCATTTGGTAATTGTCTTCTTTCATGACTGAATTCCTCTTAGTCTTAGCCTGAGTCCCACTTTGTGCTTATTCCACAATGATGTCTGCTGTGAGGCCATTTCCTTATCAGGGTCTCCAGACTATTTTCAGAACATCACTCGTGTCATTTTTAGTTACTGACAATTCACTTGAACTACAGAGTCTTTGGCAGCTGCATCAAAAGGAGGCTCTATTTACTTCAAATCCATTAAAAATTCTTGCTACAGCATAGACATTAAAGTTTTCAGGGTTTTTTTTGGCTGTTACCTCTGTATCCTTTCATCTGTCTTTAACCCTTTGATATAAAATATATATTGATTTTATTTTATACACCACTTAATTTTATATGAAGCGTATCCCCAGTTGGGTCGAAACACAGATTCTATAACAGTTCCTGTGTAACATAAATGCATAACATCTCTAGCTACAGCTTCTTGGGGCTGTTTCTAATGTTTAACTGAGTTTTGGAATATGCTAACTCTTTTTGACTACTAGTTCTACACGCATAGATACTCTAATGTGCCCAACATATAAATACATGCCAAAAATGAATCAACTGTGGTGTGAAAAAATGATGTCAGAAGTTTTTTTCTTTTTTCTTTATAATATATAGATAATGATTAAAAAGATAAATTAATGACCAAATGACATGTGATATGAGATACTACTAAGTACTCATTTAATGTAAAAAATTTCTTCAATACTTACTGAATACTCCCTAGAAGTGAGTGCTTTCCTCATCTAGAGGATGAAGACACAAACAAAAAAGACAAAAATCACTGGTCTAATAGTGCTTACATTCCAGAACAGGAAGACAGAAAGTCAAAAAGCGACTTTGCAAGACAATGTATACTTTCAGGTGGTGCTGAAAAAAATAAGTCTAAATTCTCAACAAAATAATTCCACCAGGAACAAGTTTAAAGTGCTGTATTATCAGAATGCCAGCAAGCTTATTACTGAAAGTACTTTCATGGTTGGTGTCTGTAGAACTAAAATATGTTTTACTGATGAAGTCTTGAATTTGGAGTAATGAATACCTGCAAGGGGAGGACAGGAATTTGGGGAGGACACACACTTTAGTTTGGTCTAGGTGAGTGATTGAGAAAGTCTGTTCAGTAGATCATTCTGACTTATAAAGGACAATATTCACCACTGATTCATAAAGATAAAAATAAAGACATTATTTTAAGTGTTCCATAAAGTTATTTGACTTAAATTACTGTTCTGTATATCTTTTTCTATATTTTGTTGATAAAATATTACATGATTAATGAAATCATACTGATAGTAGTACTTTTAATACTTCTGACTGAAATAAAATAGAAAACCCTATGTATGGTGCTTTTCAAATTCAAAACTCTAGAAATATTCTAGAGGACAAATAACGATGACCCAGCCAGTATTTCAGAACCTGTCAAACTTTTTAAACAATATGCTAGCAATATCCAATAACAGTCCTAAAGTAATGAAACACTGTGTGACTATTTGGTTTTTCATATTACCCATTGAAGTCTAATGAAAAGAATATTTTTGGCTGGGCGCGGTGGCTCACGCCTGTAATCCCAGATCTTTGGGAGGCTGAGGCGGGTGGATCACGAAGTCAAGAGATCGAGACCATCCTGGCCAACATGGTGAAATCTCTACTAAAGTCTCTACTAAAAATACAAAAATTAGCCGGGCGTGGTGACGCGTGCCTGTAGTCTCGGCTACTCGGAAGGCTGAGGCAGGAGAATCGCTTGAACCCAGGAGACGGAGGTTGCAGGGAGCCGAGATTGCGCCGCTGCACTCCAGCCTGGTGACAGAGCGAGACCCCGTCTCAAAAAAAAAAAAAAAAAAAAAAAAGATATTTTTAAGTCCTCAGAATATGTGAACGAGCCAGGGGAAGAAACATGTGACAAGAGGTATTGCATCTCTTTACATGGCATGAAATTTTATATGTATCCTATAATCTATATTCTGTAATTACAGCTAAAAAATGATTAAAAATGTCTAATACCAAGAAACATCAGTGCTGACAGAAAAGATTTTTTGGTTGATTTTATTTGTTTGATTATTTTTTAAATATGTTATGCATTAGCTCATATATGAGGAATAAGTCTTCTGTGTTCAGAAACTCTATGGAGACAGTTTTTAAAGGATGGATTTGGAGGATTTGAAGCCATGTGCATCTTACCCTAAGATTCATACTCTCTCCTTGTTATTAAAATTTATACTTTTGCTGCAGTTAAGTTGAACTATACAGTTGTTTCATGAATATGAGCCTGTTACATCCAAGATAAATGTTATTGTGTTGTAAATATCTAAAGGGCATATAGTATGTAAAATGTCTGGATGATGGATGCTCAGTTAGAAAGCAATAAATATATGACTTTGCTTTTCTCATCCTGGTGAATCCTGCATAAATCATGATAGAGCCTCTTGCACGTGGGTTGCAACTAAACAGAGAGAAATTTGACAAAGAAGTTGAGCGCAGTACTCAGAAATTGTACTAAAGTTGGAGAAGAGAACAACAACAACAAAAAAAACACAAAACAAAATACTGAGACATATCATTTCCTCATATTTTCTATAAAGGAATGGTGTGAATTTAATTTTAAATTTGTTACTATTCCATTTACAAGAACATATTGCTATGAGGTAAATGTAATCCTGTATTCACAAGTTTCCATTAAGGGTGAGATTTTGTGTTTGTCATTTCTGCAAAAATCTAAAGTATTATTTCCCCTACATGTCCATGCAACCTTGTATTAGAAAATGACTAATTCATAAAATATTTTTAAATACATTTGTATTTGTCATTGATTATTTGGAAACTAATGAATTAATTATAAAATTATAATATTCAAAAGCATTTTATTTTATAAATTTTATTTTTTTAATTTTAAATTTTGATTTTTGTTGTTACATAATATGTGTTTATATTTTTGTGGTACATGACATACTTTGTTACAGACATGCAATGCATAATAACCACATCAAGTTAAATGACATATTTGTCTCTGCATGTATTTATCCTTTGTGTTACAAACAATTCAATTATACTCCTTTAGTTATTTTAAAATGTGCAATTAAATTTATTATTAACTATGGTCACCCCGTTGTGCTAGCAAATGCTAAGTCTTATTCATTCCTTCTATTTTATTGTGCCATTAACCATGCTTACTGTCCCCACCTCCTCCAACACACACACCTCCATTATTCTTCCCAGCCTTTGGTAAATATCCCTATACTCTCTATCTCCATGAATTCAATTATTTTAATGTTTAGCTTCCACAAATAATATCTAAAGGGCATATAGTATGTAAGTGTGAGAACATGTGAAGTTTTTCTTCTGATGCTTGGCTTATTTCACTTAACATAATGACCTCTAGTTCTATCTATATTGTTGCACATGACAGGATCTCATTTTTTTATGAGCGAATAGTAGAATTCCATTGTGTATATGTATCACAGTTTCTTTATCCATTTGTCTGTTGATGAACACTAGGGTTGCTCCAAATCTTGGCTACTGTGAAAAGTGCTGAAATAAACATGGGGGTGCACATACGTCTTCTATATTATGATTTTCTTTATCTTACCTAGCAGTGGGATTGCTGGATCACATGGTAGTTCTATTTTTACTTTTTTGAGAAGTGTACAAACTGTTGTCCACAGTGGTTGTACTAATTTATATTCCCATCAACAGTGTGCAAGTGTTCATTTTTCTCCACTTCCTCACTGACATAAAAACCATTTTAACTAGGATATGATATCTCTGTAGTTTTGATTTGCATTTGTCTGATGATCAATGATGCAGAGCACCTTTTGATATTCCTGTTTGCCATTTGTATATCTATTCAGATCTTTGACCTATTTTTGGATCAGATTGCTAGATTTTTTTCCTATAGATTTGTCTGAGTTTCTTTTATAATAAGTTCCAAATATTAATCTCTTATAAACAAATATTTGGCAAATGTTTTTTCCCATTCTGTGCATTTTCTCTTCACTTTGTTTCCTTTGCTATTGAAATACTAATGTCATTCCTCACTAACACAATTTACAGAAGCTTTTAACTTGATGTGATCACATTTGTCCATTTTTGCTTTGGTTCCCTATTCTTATGGGTGTTACTCAAGAAATCTTTGCCCAGAACAATGTCCTAGAGACTTTCCCCAATGTTATCTTTTAGTAGTTTCATAATTTGAAGTCTAGGATTTAAATCTTTAGTCTATTTTGATTTGATTTTTGTATATGGCAAGAGATACGGGGTCTACTTTCATTAATATGCATACAGATGTCCAGTTTCCCCAGAACTATTCATTAAAGAGACTGTCTTTTCACCAATGGAGGTTCTTGGCATCTGTCAAAAATGAATTCAGCATAGATTAATGGATTTTTTTCTTAGTTCTCTATTTTGGTCCATTGATCTGTGTGTCTGTTTTTATGACAGTACCATGTTGTTTTGGTTACTAGAGTTCTGTAGTATAATTTGAAGTAAGGTAATATAATTTTTCCAGTTTTGTTCTTTGTGTTTCGAATAGCTTTGGCTATATAGGGTCTTCTGTGGTTTCATATAAATTTTAAGACTTTTTTCTATTTCAGTGAAGAATGTCATTGATATTTTGATAGTGATTTCATTGAATCTGTAGATTGCTTTGATTAGTGTGGACATTTTAACAATATTGATTCTTTCAACACATGAACATACAATATTTTTTCAATTTTTTGTGTCCTCTTCAATTTCTTTCACCAGTGTTTTATTGTTTTAATTGTAGACATCTTTCCCAGATTTAGTAAAGTTAATTTCCAGGTATTTAATTTTATTTGTGGCCATTGTACAAGGGATTAAATTTTAAATTTTCTTTTTCAGATTGTTCACTGTTGGCATATAGAAATGCTACTGATTTTTGTATGTTGATTTTGTATTTTGCAACTTTACTGAATTTATTTATCAGTTCTAATAGGTTTTTGGTGGAGGCTTTAGGTTTTTCCAAATATAAGATCATATTAACTGCAAAGAAGGATAATATGATTTTTTCCTTTCCAAACTGGATGACCTTAATTTTTTTTCTATGATTGTTCTAGCTGACATTTCCAGGACTATGTTGAGAAACAGTGGTGACAGTGGGCAACCTTGTTATGTTCCAGATCTTAGACAAAAGACTTCCAGTTTTCCCCCATTCCGCATAATAACAGCTGTGGTACTGTCATACATATATTTTATTATGCTGAGGTGTGTTTCCTCTATACTCAGTGTTTTGAGGTTTTTTATTATAAAGTGTTGTTGAATTACATCAAACACTTTTTCAGCATTAATTGAAATGATCATATCTTTTTTATCCCTCATTCTGTTGATATAATGTATTACATTAATTGATTGATTTGCATACGTTGAACCATCCTTCCATTCTTGGGTATATTAGTCAGGGTTCTTTAGAGGAATGGACTAATAGAATACATGTATATATGAAGTACAGTTCATTAAGGAGTATTGACTTGCACAATCTCAAGGTGAAGTCCCACATTAGGCTGTCTGCAAGCCAAGGAGCAAGGAAGCCAGTCTGAGTCCCAAAACCTCAAAAGTAGGAAAGCTGACAGTGCAGCCTTCAGTCTGTGGTCAAAGGCCCAAGAGCCCCTTGCAAACCACTGGTGTAAGTATACGAGTCCAAAAGCTGAAGAACTTGGAGTCTGATGTTCAAGGACAGAAAGCATCAAGCATGGAAGGAAGACAAAGGCTGCAAGACTCAGCAAGTCTGCTCTTTCCAACTTCTTCTTCATGATTTATTCTAGCCATGCGGGCAGCTGAGTAGATTGTACCCACCCAGACTGAGAGTATGTCTGCCTCTCCCAGTACCTGACTCAAATGTTAATCTCCTTTGACAACACCCCATCTGACATGCCCAGGAACAATATTTTGCATCCTGCAATCCAATCAACACAATATTAACCATCACAAGTATTTACTGTGTTAGTACATTTGCATGATGCTATGAAGAAATACCTGAGACTGGGCAATTTATAAAGAAAAGCGGTTTAATTGACTCACAGTTCTGCATGGCTTGGGAGGGCTTAGGAAACTTATAATCATGGTAGAAGGTACTTCTTCACAGGGTGGCAGGAGAGAGAATGAAAGCAAGTGGGAGAAATGCCAGAACCTTATAAAACAATCAGATTTTGTGAGACTCACTCACTATCACAAGAACAGCATAGGGGAAACTGCTCCTTATTCAATTACCTCCACAGAGTCTGTCCCATGATATGTGGGGATTACACGATCGCAATTCAAAATGAGATTTGGGTGAGGACAAAAAGCCAAACCATATCATTTTTCCACATCCCCTCCTAAATTTCATGTCTTAACATTTCAAAACCCAGCCCTTTCAAAAGTTCTCCAGAGTCTTAACTCATTCCAGTATTAACCCAAAAGTCCAAATCCAAAGCCTCATCTGAAACAAGGCAAGTACCTCCCATCTGTGAATCTGTAAAATCAAAAGCAAGTTAGTTACTTCCTAGATACAATGGAGGTATGGGCATAGGGTAAATACAGCCATTCCAAATGGAAGAAATTGGCCAAAACGAAGGGGCTACATGTCCCACACAAATCTGAAATCCAAAAGAGCAGTCATTAAAACTTAAACTTCCAAAACAATCTCCTTTGATTCCATGTCTCACATCCAGGGCATGCTGACGCAAGAGGTTGGCTTCCATGGCCTTGGGAAGCTCTGCCCCTGCAGAGTAACACCTACCTTTCCAGCTGCTTTCACAGGCTGGCATTGAGTGACTGCAAGATGTTTGTGGATCTACCATTCTGGGGACTAGAGAATGGTCGCCCTCTTCTCACAGCTCAACTAGGCAGTGTCCCAGTGCAGACTCTTTGTGGTGCCTCCAACCCCATATTTCCTTTCCACACTGCCCTATCTAGCAGAGGTTCTCCATGAGGACGCCACCCCTGCAGTAAACTTCTGCCTGGGCATCCAGGCATTTTCATACATTCTCTGAAATCTAGGTGGAGGTTTCCAAACCTAAATTGTTGACTTCTGTGCACCCTCAGGCCCAACACCACTCAAAGATCATTTAGCAACCTATTGTTTAATTTCCATGTGTTTATACAGTTTCCAAAATTCCTCTTCTTATTGATTTCTAGTTAAATTGTAGTCAGAGAACATGTTTGAAGTTAATTCAAATCTTTGGGATGTTCTGATACTTGTTTTGTGACCTAACATATGGTCTATCCTTGAGAATGATCCAAGTGCTGAGGGGAAAAATGTGTATTCTCCGGCCACTGGACGAAATGTTCTGTAAATACCTATTAGGCCCATTTGTTCTATAGCACAGATTAAGTTCTATGTTTATTTATTTTCTGTCTGGAAGATGTGTCCAATGGTGTTCAATTGTGAAAGTGGGCTGTATTTTTTTTAGCAGTTTTAATATATCATAACACTGTCTGCTGGCCCATAATGTTTTCACTGAAAGTCTGGACTAGACATACTGGAGCTCTATTATATGTTTTGTGTTTATTTCATCTTGCTGCTTTAAGGAAGCTTTCTTTATCCTTCATTTTTGGGAGTTTGATTATTTAATACCCTGAGGTAGTTTTCTTTAGATTAAATCTGTTTGGTATTCTATAACTTTCTTTACTTGAATATTGATATCTTTCTCTAATTTTGGGAAGTTCTCTGATGTTATCTTTTGAATAAACTTTCTACCCCTATTCCTGTCTACCTCCTCTTTAAGGCCAAAGCTCTTATTATTCCTCTTTTCAAGCTATTTTCTAGATATTTGAGGCATGCTTTATTATTATTATTTTTCCTTTTGTCTCTTTGATGTGTATTTTCAAATAGCCTGTCTTAAAGCTCAGTAATACTTTCTTCTGCTTGATCAGTTCTAAAAGTTAGAGATACTGAAATATTCTTCAATAGTCCAATTACATTTTTCAGCTGCAGAATTTCTGCTTGATTCTTTTAATTATTTTATTCTTTTTGTTAAATTTTTCTGTTAGAATTCTGAATTCTCTCTGTGTGTTATCTTGAATTTCTTTGAGATTCCTCAACATAGCTATTTTGATTTCTCTGTCTAAAAGTTTACGTATCTCTGCTGCTCCCAAGATTGGTCCCTGGTGACTATTTAGTTCATTTGGTGAGGTCATGTTTTCCTCACTTGTTCTGATGCTTGCAGATGTTTGTCAGTGATATACTGCATATTTGCCCCCGCTCAAATTTTACATTGAAATGTTATTCCTCAGTGTTGGAAGTGGGTATTCATGGGAAGTATTTGGATTATGGGGGCAGATTCCTCATTAATGGCTTAGGCCATCTCCTTGATGATAAGTGAGCTCTTGTTCTGAGTTCACATGAGTTCTGGTGATTTAAGAATGTGTGGCACCTCCCCCACTACTCTCTCTCTCCCTTCCCGACTCTCTCTCACTTACTCCTTCTTTTTCCATGTGCATGTGATTTTCCTTCTTCATCTTCTGCTATGATAACAATCTTCCTGAGGCCTCCTTAGAAGGATGCCACGACCATGGTTTCTCTAAAACATGTACAACCATGATTCAATTAAATCTCTTTTCTCTATATATAACCCAGTGTCAGCTATTTACTTATAGTAATGCAACAATGGCTTAATACAGAAAATTAGTACTGATTATTGGCACACTGCTATGAAGATCCCTGAAAATGTGGAAGCAGCTTGGGATCCACGTAACAGGCAGAAGTTGGACAAGTTTGGAGGGCTCAAAGAAGACAGGAAGATGAAGACAAGTTTGGAATTTCTTAGAGACTGATAAATGATTGTGCCCAAACTGTTGATAGTAATATGGACAGTGAAGTCCAGTCTGCTAAGGTCTGAGAAGGAAATTAGGAACTCATTGGGAATTGGAGCAAAGGTCACTTGAGTTATGTCTTAGCAATGAGTTTAGCTGCATTCTGTTTATATCCTAGGGTCTGAGGAAGTTTGAACTAAAGAGTGATAATTTAGTGTATCTGGCAGAAGAAATTTCTATGCAGCCAAGTGACCTGGCTGCTTCTAACAACCTAGACTCAGATGTGGGAACAGAGTGATGACTTAAAGTTGGAACTTATATTAAAAAAGAAAAGTAGAACACAAAAGTTTAGAAAATGTGAAGCCTGGCCATGTGGCAGCGAAATAAAGCTTTTTCAGGAGAGGAATTCAAGCAGGTTGTGGAGCAATTTATTGTGAGAGGAATTTGTATAACTAAAAGGGTGGCAGATGCTGCTATCTAACACAATCAGGAAAAAGTCTTGAAGGCATTTCAGAGACCTTTGTGGCAGCCCCTCCCATCACAGGCCCAGAGGCCTAGGAGGGAAGAATGGTTTCATAGGCCACGTCCAGGGCCTCACTTCCCTGCACAGCCTCAGAACATTGCTTTTGCATCATAGATGATCTTGTTCCAGCCTCAGCTCAGTGGGGCTTAGGTATAGCTCAGGCCATAGGTCCAGGGTGTGCAAGCTATAAGCCTTGTGTGGTTTCACATGGTGCTAAGACTGTGGGTGCACGGAATGCAAGAGTGAATTAGGCTTGACACCTTCTGCCTAGACTTCAGCGGATGTGTAAAAAAGCCTGGATGTCCAGGCAGAAGGCTCCTGTAGGGAAAGAGCCCCTATAGAGGACCTCTACTAGGGAAGTGCAGAGGGGAAATGTGGGGTTGGAGGGCCTGAAGTCCCTAGTTAGGCACTGCCTACTGGAGCTGTGGAAAGGGGGCCACTGGCCTCCAGACCCCAGAATGTTAAATCCACCAGCAGCTTCTACCCTGCACCTGGGAAAGCTCCAGGAACTCAAGAACTTACGAGAATAGCCATGGTGGCTGAATTCTGCAATGCCACAGTGTTACCATTGGAGGGTGTGCAGGTTCTTGGCATCCTGAATAAAGAATTGGACAAAATTCACAAACAAAGTCAGTAAAGAATGAAGCAACAAAAGCAGAGACTTACTGAAAATGAAAGTACACTCCACAGTGTGGAAGTGGGCCCAAGCATAGGGGCCCAAGAGCTCTGTTACAGAATTTTCTGGTGTCTAAATACACTCTAGAGGTTTCACCTGGTTACTTAGTGTATGCTCTATGTGAATGAAGAAGATTAAGTTACAAAGTCATTTACATGGTGTATGCCCTATGTAAATGGAGAGGATATTTTCTGTCATAGCTGAAGTGCTTCCATTTGATTTAGTTCTAGGAAGTCAGCATAAATCGGTTTATGTTCCTTGCCTCCACACCTTATTCTCCTGCCTCAACAGGGGCAGACAGGCAGAGCTTCTCAGAGCCTTGGAGGTTCACCCCTTGCATCAGTGTGCCCTGGATGTGGGATATGGAGTCAAAGGAATCTATTTTGGAGTTTTAAGATGTAATGACTGTCATGCTGAATTTCCGACTTGTGTGAAGCCTGTAGCCCCTTTCTTTTGTCCAGTTATTCCTTTTGGATCTGGAATGTTTACCCAATTTATGCACCCCCATTGCATCTTAGAAGTAAATGAATTGTTTTGATTTTATAGGCTCATTAGGTGGAAGGAACTCATTTTCAGATGAGACTTTGGATTTTGGACTTGAGGCTTTTGAGTTAATTCTCAAATGAGGTAAGACTTTGGGATACTATTGAGATGTCATGATTCTATTTAGAAATATGAGAAGGACAATCATTTGGAAGATGCCAGGGGTGGAGTGATATAGTTAGTTTATACGTCCTTGCCCAAATCTCATATGAGTATGTAATCTCCAATGTGTGAGTTGAGGCCTGGGGGAGCTGTTGGAATGGAGGCAGATCTCTCATAATGGCTTGGACCATCTCTTTAGTGGTAAGTGAGTTCCCACTCTGAATTTACAGATCCCTTCATTTATAAGTTTGTGGCACCTCCCCCAACTTTATCTTTCTTTTATGTGTCTGCTTCTCCTCCATCTTCCACTATGACTGGAAATTTCCTGAGGCTTGCCTAGAAGCTAAGCTGTTGCCACTATGATGCTTCTTGTGAAGCCTACACAACCTTGAGCCAATTAAATTTCTTTTCTTTATAAATTCCTCAGTCTCAGGTATTTCTTTACAGCATTTCTAACTTGCATAATCATGGTTAACAATAAGCACCACTACCCTTGATGTTACTAATTAACAGAGTATTACATTCAAAACATGTTTGTTGGTTCCTAGAGTTATTTCTTCAAACATTTTTCTGAAACTACTTTCTCATTTTAAATTTTTTACTTTGGAGTAACTTTAGGCACACAATGCTGACAAATAAATGGCAGATTCCTGAAAATGTCCTCATGGATACAGAATCATTTCTTACATTTTTACATCCATAAAGTGATTGTTTTATAAACTTGATACTTGAATAATAAGTGCACTGGATATAAAATATTTATACCTTCTTTCATTGAGTTTCAAGAAACAGTGTTGATGCATTTGCGTGTTCCTTGTTTTTCTGTGGTTTTTGAAAAGCCTGATGACAGAAGCAATTTTGTGTTCGTGAGTTTTCAAATCACTGTGCCTGAGCCTTGAAAATTGTTTCTTTATCTTAAAAATCTAACAGTTGTACTAGAAAATATCTTGAAATTGATTGTTGTGCTTAATTTTCCTAGGCACCCAGTAGAATGTTTTAATATATATACTCAGGTTTTTACTAATTTTTAAGTGTTTTTAGAGTATAGGTTTAAATATTAATTGTGTCATTGTTTTATCTTTCTTTTTCAGAAAATCCAATAATGCATATGCAATTCTTTGTGTATTGTCTACTTGCCTTACTTTTTGTTCTGAACCATTTTACTTCTTTATTTATATTGTTTAATTCCTTTCTTTTCTCTTCTTTTTCAATGTTCCTTATTAGAATTTTTTTGTCTATTTTTTGAGTACCTGTATTGCATTCTTAACTTTTACAAAATATTGTATTCTTACACTTCTTCCCTTCAGTTAATCAGTTTCCTTTTTCTTTCCTTTTTTTTTTTTTTTTTTTTGAGATGGAGTTTCCGTTCTTGTTGCCCAGGCTGGAGTGGAATGGTGTGATCTTGGCTCACTGCAACCTACATCTCCTGTGTTCAAGTGATTCTCCTGCCCCAGCCTCCTAAGTAGATGGGATTACAGGCATGAGCCACCACGCCTGGCTAATTTTTTGTATTTTTAGTACAGATGGGGTTTCACCATGTTGGCCAGGTTGGTATCGAACTCCTAACCGCAGGTGATCCACTCATCTTGGCCTCCCAAAGTGCTAGGATTACAGGCATGAGCCATGCACCCATCCAGTTACCTTTTTCTTACATGTTATCTGTTGTGTTCTTAGTTATTTTTAATTTCTTTTTTAACACAACTTTAAAATATCCAATTATTTGCTTGAGTATACTTAAACCCATTTGGAATGAGTACATCAAGGGGCTTTATGTTTGTTTTTCTGGGGAAAGTTTAACTCAATTGATATTTGTTGAATTTTGTTTTCTGATTTTTGCAATACTTCTATTAATGTTGTTCATGTTTGTGTTATTGAGGTGCTTATCGTAAGAATTAAAGAAAGAGGAAAGAAACATGAAAGGTGGCTTGATGGTTAAGACAGGTTTATTTTAGAGAAAACAAACCTGAGAGGGGTGTTTGTCTGTGTTAGGTTAGAGGCACACTCTCTTACAGACTAAGAGTTTTTAAGGATTTAGGGTGGGAGAGTTTATTAAAGGCTTGGACTGCTTCTGTGTTTCTTTGTTGTGCTTATTTGGGAGAGAGAGTTGTGTGTTTGTTCCTATACATTTTTCTGCCGCTGCAGGCATACGCCCAAGCCTGCTTTTAGCTTCCCTATTTTAGTGCACCTGAAGGGAAAGGAATGTGCTTATTAAGGCCCACTGTTTTACTGGGGCCCATTGTAGAAGGGTGAAGTTTTGCAGTTACCCAAGAGACTTTTTCCCCACCTTCTTCTGTGCTCGAACTGTTTTATCTGTGTTTTACTGTCTGGTTTTTCTGGCTGCTTGTAGCTAGAGAAGAGAAGTGATTTTCTTGAAATGCACGAGGCTAAAAAGGGCACTGGAACTTAAAGTGGCAGCGTTCATTCGAGATGATGTTGTTCCTGCTCTGTCACTTATAGCGCCTTAATTTGAGTGTCCTCAGCTATGAATATAGTAAAGTCAGATATTCAGTGTTTCTTTTGGTTTTGTTTGCTTTCATAATTAAAAGAGGAGCTGTGTGCTTTCAGATGTTTTAGGTCTCTTATAATGTGCAGGATGTTAAATTTTCACTGTTATGCCTTTCTCTTCGTATCATTTAATTGCCAATTAGTGTTTTCCCTTCCTACTTTAAATATTTCCCCTAGTGTGAGTTTTAATGACAGTTTTTTCAAATTGTTTACATTTTTTGGTGCCTTCCATGGGGACATATTTTTTCTATGCACTCAACCACCAGATGTAATTAGTATTTCAGACTACAACATTAATGTATTTAGTTCTTCTGGAAACAACTTTAGATCACTCTTAGGATCCATTGTTCCGTCTCTTTCTGTTTCATTCAGTCTTTCTAGGCTTGTCATTGCTGGCCCCTTGCCCTTCCCTGGGGTGGAGTTGGTGGAGGAATGTGAGTCTATCCATGATGTGACTTGGTGTTTTTTTCTGTGTGTGTGTGTGTGTGTGTAAATATATGTGTGTGTATATATATGTAAATATATATGTGTATATATGTAAATATATGTGCATATATGTAAATATGTGTATATATGTAAATATATGTATATGTATATATGTGTATATATGTAAATATGTGTATATGTGTATATGTATATGTATATATGTATATATGCATATATATGTAAAAATAATATACATGTAAAAAATACATATGTAATTATGTAATGTCAGGAATTCTCTGCCCTCACGTTATGCTAAAAGATGGTTTTCAGGTGTTTTATTTTCAGTATTACTTTTACAGGAAATACGACAAATGGAGACCTAGGTACTAGTTTTGTCTTCAACCATCAGCAATCCTTTATTCCTGTTTAAAAAATATTTTAAATTTAGGAAATAGTAATTCAAGTGTTGTTCATACTATTCAACTAATTCATACAAATTATCCATAGTAGATATATTTTACAAAATTTAATGTAAGGTTTTTGATGTATATTTTATTTTTATTTATTTATTGTTTGTTTGTTTGTGTATTTTTGAGACAGAGTCTCACTCTATAGCCCAGGCTGGAGTGCAGTGGTGCAACCTTGGCTCACTGCAACCTCCACCTCCCAGGTTCAAGCAATTCTCGTGCCCCAGCATCCTCTGTAGCCGGGAATACAGGCGATCGCCATCACACCTAATTTTTCTTTCTTTTTTTTTCTTTTTTTCTTTTTAAGTAGAGACAAGGTTTCACCATGTTGGCCAGGCTGGTCTTGAACTCCTGACCACAAATGATCAAGTGATCCACCCACCTCGGCCTCCCAAAGTGCTGGGTGTCACGGTGCCTGGCCTCTGATACATATTTATTTTAAATATTTCTCAAATATTATTGTTTTCAGTTAGAAAGAAAAATATATTTTGGAGAATTACCATACACTAAAACCTCTATATGTGTTGTCATTTACTCCATAGAACAATCTGGCAGAGTGCGTCTTATTATTCTGGATATGTACATCAAGAGTCTGTAAATTAACAGCAGAATGGATTCAGCATTTGAACAAAGCTTTTATATTACTCAAATTACCATGTGTGTTTTTATTCCATCAAGGTTTTAATCCAATTTCAAGTTCTACTTAAAATTATACTGTTTATGAAACTGTTATTCAAATAATAGAATCATTTAACCACAGATCACCAGAATCAATGAGTGCAAATGCATATAAGGAAAAGAATTGTGTCTCATATTTGAAAAATGATTTACTAATCTTCAAAGGAAGAACAACTTAACAAAAAAATTAAGATAATCATTTGTGGGATTAAATAAATCAATGAAATGTTATTTCCAATTTTTATCAAAAGAGATATAATTACTCTTAAAGAGTATGTATCTTACTCTACTATGGTTATTTAATAGATACATTGCTCTAGATTTAATGTAGTCCAATTGTTAATGACACTTCTGTGATCAAAGCAATACCATAATGTTGTAAATAGTTTATAAGATTCAAAAGCACTTTCAGAGAAAAATATATTTATATTTATATTAAAATCAATTATGTATCTATTAATATCCTTTAGGGTCAACAAATAGTCTGTGACACAGCACCATCCACATTTAATAGTAATTATTTTCTTTAAAAGTTTTTTCTTCTTATTTTTAATCATCATTTGTGTACCTGTAGACATTTTATAGCTTTTCTACTATATCAAATATGAATAAACAATCATACCATTATGAAAATATATTTTAAGTTGTATTTTTAACTTAAACTTTAATACATCTGTTTAGTAATAAATTAAGAAAAATTTCAAATCAAGTTTATCAAATTAATGTTAAATACATTATCTCTGAATAAAAATGATTTAATCAGAAGCCTAAATATATATCCCCCTTTTATTTAAAGTATTTCTAATCATATTACATGAATTAAGAGAAAATAATCTTTATTATCCTACTGACTGGGTAAAGAGAGTAGTGAAAACTTATAAGTAGAAGAGAAAGAAATGCCATATGAAGGTCATATACTAAAACTGATTCTATAAAATTGATTTGATTTATGTTCGCATGCTGACCATTCCCAATAAAATTACACACTACAGCCTTGACCATCACAAGGCCAAATAAATTGACTAGATCCGCAAAGAGTTGAACTTGAGGTAATCGAAGTACAGATATTGGCTTTTTGGAACAAAGCAGACTTAGAGGCGGTGGAGTGTGGATAATATCCATTTTGCTTATACAGTTTTCCTCAAGGTCTTGGCCTGCATAAAAGGAAGTGGATTTGTCCTAGTGGGATTGTACATTTAACAAGATATTTATTTAAATTTTATGTTCAATGTGCTATGTAAAATTTAATGTAGACAGCTTAAAAACATGCTTAAAAGTAGCACTTAGTGATTAAAAAAAAACTTGGTTGTGTCTAAGCACAGGTATTTCAAACAGTGTAAGTAACTTATCATTTCAATTGAGACATATTTGTGAAATGAATAAAAGTAAATTTCCAGAGCTTCCAGTTTACAATCTCTGTGCTTTTTAAATTTTAACCTCTTCTTCCCATTCTCTCTTTTCCCATTCGAGTGAGAAAACCAGCTCTAAAAAAATAAAATAAAATGAAAACTGGCAGCACCTTTGCACAAAATGTGACTTTCTTTTTGTGAATACATCACCCTATTAGGTGATACTAGATTGAAATTTCCAGAAAAAATTTTTACCCTGAATTACACAGAGTCGTTTAGATCAAATGCACTTCAGAATGTGGAAAGGAAAATTAGGAAAGTTGTATGAATAAGAAGGACAACAAGTATCATTTGCCTATCATGTGTTTGTCAGACAGTTAGCAATTTAAATACATGAATTTGTTGAATCAACTATGGCTTTTATTATTCCTCACCACCATTTAAGTAATGGAGTCTCAGTGAAGTTTAGGACATTGTTTAAAGCCATAGAGTTGTTTGACACACTCATTAGAATAGCTTCTTAAATGTGCACTGAGCTTCTGCCCAGGATGACAGGAGGCTAATGAACATAAGGAAACCATTCCTAAACTGTGTGGTAAGGCAACACGGCACCATACATAACTCTGCAGAATATTTTACATTTTTGACAGAAACAAAAGGACGTTCAACATCAGGTGACACACAAAATACTAGTTTGAGTTCACAATTATAATATTTGATTATCCTACCTTCTTTTGTTGACGCCATATTTGTGAGGTTGAGTTTTGGTAGTTGCAATAATAAAAGGCAAGTACTGCATGAAAATCAGTGGAGAACTGTAAATCAGGATAGTCAATAGAATTTCAAGTCATTCGGCCCTGATGGGGGCACGCATCCCATAAGTAAATGTGGTTATTAAAGACAAAAAATAAAATTATGTTTTTTTTTTTCAAATGACATGTTTGTTATTTCACATGACTCTTAAATTGTTAAGACATAAATACTCGTTAAGGATTTTGGACTTACTATGTAGTTAAAAATAGAAACTCATAGATATTTTAAAAAGTAGCAACACATTCAGAGCTTCATGAACCAAAAACATTTTAGAATCTCTGGCATAGGGTTTGTACCAGTGTCCTCAGGTTGGAATCTCAATTTAATTGACCTGAAGCAAGTTAGAGAAACTCTGAGTTTTCTTACTTGAAAAATGTGGGCAAAATATCAAGTATCTCATGGGTAATTTTTTTCTTTCATAATTAAGTGTTTTAATGTAAATAAAGCATGTAAAAGAGAATAAGGTACATGCTAATACTAGCTGAATAGGTCTCATCTAGAAGCATAAAAACACACTGCATGAACCATGTTTTGGAACTTAAGGAACTGACAATTTTTAAGTAATGAATTAATAACTGCTCTAGTAGCTATATGTCAGAATGTATATGTTTCATTATAGTGTTTATAACGTCACATGAAAACACAGATTAAAATGTGCGCAGTTTATGTTTAAGGTAAGTAATACTTGTTTATTTTGTTTAGGAAAATCTCTGTTCATCAACCACACATGTAATTGAAAACACTGATTAATAAAACTATATGAAATTATTTAGACTATTGGCATGTAAATTTTAACCTACATTCTCATAAAATCTTCACAAATAACAGCTAATCTAAACAGTTTGGTAGTTTATGGATGCAAAGATAGACGTTGGTATACTTTTTCAAAATGTAAAAGAATGATCAATATCAAACGGGGTATACTGTTTGCCACTTTGTTGGAGAAAGGACTACGTTTACAGATTTCAAAAAGGCAATCTAGGGTATAGATGACATGTCTTACAATGGATTGAGCATACTGATGTTCTTTTTATTATTTTTATAAAAGTATACTTATGAATCTTATGTTTTATTAATTTTTAAAAATACTTTAAAAAAAGAGACATCATTTTAAAACATAGCCCTTGCTTTTGAAATGCAGAGAAGCTTAGCAGTATACCTACATTTTAAATTTATATTTACATTACATTTCTTTCTGATATCTCAGCACCTCTGCAACATAGGAATGTAAGCTGCAGAAAACTGTAAAAGAAATTGCATATCCTGCTGAAGTCTTACCTAGAGTGAACGTTAACTTTTTCTGTTAATAAGCATGAGAACATTTGCCTTTAAAAAATTACACTGACTAAATTACCATCATATTAAAATATGAAATGGTTTTAATTATGCTATTATACTTTCAAATTGTCTCATACACTGAGATTTCTAAGAAAGCAAAAACAGGGTAGAAACATTTTGGATGAAACAGTTATGACTATCCTAGTGACCCCTCACCAATTTTCCTACTGTGAAATTGCATGGCAGAGTTTCTGAATAACACCGCTAACTCGCTGAGAGTATTAAACCCAATAAGATTTTCTTTAAAGTATGAAAGTCAGGCTTTGGGGCATGAAATAAACTACAAACGTGGAAAATGGCAGAGTCTTTCTGATTAGTCTGCCAGGGCATCAGGCCTGACTGATACCTATCCTTGGCACCATCATTCTGAAATAAATTTGTCAGAAAATAAGCCTACTTGCCAAATTTCATAATGCTGGCAAGCTTATTTCTACTTTTTCAACAGTCATTTGTGATTAAAAGCTAGGATTAAAAAAAAGGTCGATAGAATGTATTAGTTCTAACACTAAGTCACTGAAAAATTGTGTGTATGTATATACACGTTATTTATGAAACATTGATATATCTGTATGAACTTACCTTTCTATATTAAGCTGTTGTGCATCATTAAATTATTTTTAATATTGTTATTTTATAAAATAAACAAAGTCCATTATTAATTTTTATTAGATAATTGGATTATTCTCCTCTTATTTTTATTTATTTATTTATTTTTGAGACATATTCTTGCTCTGTCACCTAGGCTGGAGTGCAGTGGTGCAATCCTGGCTCACTGAAACCTCTGCCTCCCAGGTTCAAGCGATTCTCCTGCCTCAGCCTCCCGAGTATTTTGGCCTACAGGCACACACCACCACATCCGGCTAATTTTTGTATGTTTAGTAGAGATGAGGTTTCACCAGGTTGGCCAGGCTGGTCTCAAACTCTTGACCTCAGGTGGTCTGCCCCTGTTGGCCTCTCAAAATGCTGGGATTACAGGTGTAAGCCACTGCACCCAGCCTCTTCTCTTATCTTTAAACCACATGTGTATTTCTTTGCTTTTCTTCTCTTGGTCCAATGTACCATCTTGAATATCCTTGGAGTCTATTATTTGTAATATTTTTAAAGGAAGCCTTTCCCCAAGTAACTTCTAGTTTAAAATATAATTGGCACAAAAAAGGACATCTTGCTGAGAAAAAAAAAAAAAACCTCATCTTGAAAGGCATGTGTTACTCAATTCATATAGCAC
The DNA here is from genome assembly GCF_000001405.40 of Homo sapiens. Classification (NCBI taxonomy): domain Eukaryota; kingdom Metazoa; phylum Chordata; class Mammalia; order Primates; family Hominidae; genus Homo; species Homo sapiens. Next base: position 23,624,163 of record NC_000005.10, read on the forward strand.
TCCCTAAATTTGGAAAAAATAATAGAGCTATAAAATCTATTTAGTGGGTGCCAAAAGAGAGGGACAGGGAGGATGGCTGTTATTACAAAGGGGTAGCATAAAGAAGATCTTTGTGGTGATGAGGTAGTTCTATATTCTGATTGCTCTGTTGGTAAAATGAACTTATACATGTGATAGGTGACACGGAACTACATAAACATTTTAAACTAATGGCATGTTTCTGGTTTGACATTATTTTATCTGTATATGAATCGTAACCAATGGCGAAAATTATATAAAGCATGAATAAAACTTCTTTGCATGATCTTTACAATCTCCTATATGCCTAGAACTATTTCAAAATTAAATGGTTAAAAGTGATAAAAAGACTATCTTTTAAAAATAATTATAATACAGAACAATCTTAGTGCATAATTTGAACATAGGTTAAATAGGGTTTGAGAGAATTCTTTATTTTTTTTTGAAATTTCACAGGTGATGCAGCTATGAACATTGAGAATAAAGCCCCACCTAAAACTAACTCATTTAGTAAATTCATAAGTGCAAGTAGTAATTTAAGTGAAAAAATATAGTTTGACAATACCATAGCTGACACGTGCACAAATACATATGCATGAGTATATATAAAGTCTAAAATTATGTATATACCTATAAATCATTGTTAAAGCACATTCAAAAGAATAACAAAAATAAAATGAATTCGAACAGTGATAATTGTGGAAGTAGATATTGTGTAAAAAAATTTACTTGAAAGTGAAGCAAAATATAACTGTTCAGTAATGATGGGAAGAAGTCATAGTGTTCAGAAAAAGGTAGTTTAGACATTTTTAAGAAAACAACTCATGAGTATTTTTGTAGGTGGATGTTACAAGGAACTCTAGTGGGTGAAGAGCAAACAGTTCAGGGACTAAATCAAACTTCAAGAGAGTGCATGTTTTATGTAATCTGGTCCAAACTTTACCATATTTTAAAAAATACTTAAAATACTATTTTTATTTAAATTCCTTCAATGTATTTCAATGACAATTTATTTTAAAAAGCAAAAAACAGGCCAGGCACGATGGTTCACTCCTGTAATCCCAGCACTTTGGGAGGCCGAGGTGGGCAGATCACGAGCTCAGGAGTTCAAGACCAGCCTGACCAACATGGTGAAACCCCATTTCTACTAAAAATACAAAAATTAGCTGGGAGTGGTAGTGGGCACCTGTAATCCCAGCTACTCAGGAGGCTGAGGCAGGAGAATCGCTTGAACCCGGGAGGCGGAGGTTGCAGTGAGTGGAGATGGTGCCACTGCACTCCAGCCTGGGTGACTGAGTGAGACTCTGTCTCAAAAAAAAAAAGAGCAAATAACCACATTTATTAATTTTATTTAGAATTTTAATGGGGACAACAAATGAACAAATATTTCTAATTGCTGTTTTAAAATGTGTTTTGATTTTGTTACTATAGTTGGCACTCTATAATAAGTGAAATTTCCAAGTTTATTTCAAATAAAAGTCACACTACAGAAGATGAACTAAAATTAACCTTGTTTTACATGAAAATGTTGAATGGTATATTTCTAGTCTTTTTATTTGTTATATCCAACTGATGTAAAATATGTTTTGCTAATGAATCGTTATTTATTTCCAGAAACATGCCAATCATCTGTAAAGATAATTTACTTTCTTTTTATTAAGTATTGTGGATGATATGTTCTTGATTATCAAATATTTCAGTTATTTGAAATTTTTCATATATGTACACTAACATCTATAAAAGATCAGTATTGAACAATCAGCTTATTTTACTGATCGAAAATATGCCTCTGCAGATATCAAAGCTTTAGAATCATTATCATGTTCATCAATTATAATAAGTAGTAAAAAAGTCATTAATTGTGGTTAAAAGTATCATATAAGATTGATGAAATAATTTGAAATATGTACAAATATATTTAATATATTTATTTGATATGTTTTATTTATTTAATTAAAATACACACATATATATATATATGAGCCTTTTATTCACCAGATTTACTGCACATACATGTATACATGTCCAGAGGATGGAAAAGATTTTGGCATTAACTTACTTAATATATGGTGTGATTGATGACTTCGAATAAAAATGATTTCATGTGGTCCAGGCGCTGTGGCTCATGCCTGTAATCCCAGCACTTTGGGAGGCCAAGGCGGGCGGATCACGAGGTCAGGAGATCGAGACCATCCTGGCTAATATGGTGAAACCCCGTCTCCACTAAAAAATACAAAAAATTAGCCGGGCGTTGTGGCGTCTACCTGTAGTCCCAGCTACTCAGGAGGCCGAGGCAGAATGGCGTGAACCTGGGAGGCGGAGCTTGCAGTGAGCCAAGATCGCGCCACTGCACTCCAGCCTGGGCGACAGAGCGAGACTCCGTCTCAAAAAAATAAATTAATTAATAATAATACTAATAAAATGATTTCATGTGGAAGATAATTGAGTACATTTGTATATTAGTTATTTTATTTTGTTAGTGACCCTACAATGAGCCTCTTGGCAAGGTGAAATAGCGATATAGCTTTGGAGTCCCTAGTGAATGTAATTTAAAAACACATTCTGACTTTTGAGAAGTCAGGTGTCTAGCAGTAAAGAGGTCAATCAACAAATTTTTTACCAATTCAAAAAATAAAAATAAAATCTCCAGCAAATGACTTACTAACTAAAAGAAAACATGGAAAGAGAATATTATGACAGTGACTTAGATTAAAGTGGCACTTTTGGCTAAATAAATAACACTCTTAAGGCACTTCAAAATGATTCAGAAAACAATAGTGGAGAAAACAAATAAAGAGGAGTTTAGGAAATTCTGAGCCATTTCAAGAAGAGCCAAATATTTTGAGAGTAATGAGGAGACGGGATTAGATGTGAAAACTGAAAATAAAGTCCTAAACCCCATACCAACTGAGTAATTTTCTCTTGGCCAACGGGGCTCCAGAGAAACCTTAAAAACTGAGTTTCTGGCCGTGATAGGGAAGCTGGACAAGCCTCATGACTCATTATATCCCCTCCCTTTGGGAGTTGAAGGAACAGCAACTGACCAGATTTAATAAAAAAAAAATACATATATAATATATATGTCTGTGTGTGTGTGTATATATATATAACACATGCATATATATGTATATGTATATATATGTGCGTGTGTGTATATATATACACTATATGTACATATATGTGTGTGTATAAATATATATAATGAGATTAACAAAACAGAGTCTTTGTGAAAATAAGATATTAAATTATAAACAAAGACCTAAGGCCATTGATGACCTATGGTCAGGCCATCAATCTTGCTACATAGCATCCTTCTGTTAACATAAAACATTTCTTTCTACTGGCTTCAAGTTTAGACAGAAACTCCTTTGACTAACTGCAAATTAAAGAATGTTCAAATCCCCCTATGACTTGTAAGAACCCACTTCAAGGTATCCTGCTTTGTTGGGGCTAACCAGTGTTTATGTTTCGTACATTGGTTTATGCTTTCGCCTGTAAATTTTTCCTCCCTGAAATGTATAAATCTAAACTGTGATCTGACTGCCTCAGCTGCCCTTTCTCAGTACTCCTTGAGACTGCTTCCCTAGGCTACAGTCACTCATATTGGCCCAGAACAAAGCTCTTTAAAAAGCACTGTGCAGAGTTAGGTTTTTCCACTTGCAAATAGAAATAGCATCGTACTCTGGGAGTACACATCAATGGTAGAAGCTCATATGTAATGTCATAATATTCTTCAGATAACTACTAGGGTTTATCATTTCTACAACTTCACAGCCTTCGGGGCGACTTTCTGCATTTAAGGACATGCTCATGGGACTAAGACAGACATGTTTAATTAGAGATAACCCCAGAAGGGCAGCCTACCTTCTCGTGCTCAGGCCTAACATATGTGGTTAAAAATATCGAAAAAACAAACTGATTTTCATGCTAAAGACAAATATGACTCATATAAGGTGGGAAGTTTCAAGGAAATTTCTTGCTCATTATGTCAGAGAAAAGAGAAATTTGGTCATAGCTGCTCATGTTCAGCCCTAGAACGGTGACTAGAAAAAGTCAAGACAGGAAGTAGAAAAATTTGAAGAAACTTAGGTGTAATAGAAAAACAAGACCAAAATAATTATAACCCATGGGAATGCAAACAAATCTATAATTCATATATAACAATATAAAGTGATATAAGAATAAATTTACTGATGTGAAAACTCAGTATATAACCTTTGACAATATAACATGTTGAGATAAAACACAAGATTTCAAAGATATCAAATAAAACAATAAGGATAAAATAACTTGAATGTAAGCTAAAATAATATTCAGTTATAAATTGAATACATTGGCAGAAAAATAAATACACATTGTGAAAACAATCTTGAGATTATCGGAAATAATGTTAAAATAATTAAATAAAGAGGATAATGAAGATAGGCTACACAGATAATAAAATATACATATAACTGTGGTACTGCAAATAAAACAGAAAAAAAGACATAACATAATAGTGAAGTTTTCCAACTAATATTATCATTTGACTTGATCCCCAATTCCTGTCTTTCTAATGAAATGATTTGCAGTCCTGGAAAAACTGTGAAAACAAATGAAGTTTTATTTCTTCTTCTTCTTCTTCTTCTTCTTCTTATTATTATTATTATTATAATTATTATTATTATTTGAGATGGAATTTCACTCTATCGCCCAGACTGGAGTGCAATGACGTGATCTCTGCTCACCACAACCTCCGTCTCCTGGGCTCAACTGATTCTCCAGCCTCAGCCTCCTGAGTAGCTGGGATTACAGGCATGTGCCACCATGCCCAGCTAATTTTTGTATTTTTAGTAGAGATGGGGTTTCACCATGTTGGCCAGGCTGGTCTTGAACTCCTGACATCAAGTGATCTGCCTGCCTCAGCCTCCCAGAGTGCTGGGATTACAGGCGTGAACTATCGCGCCTGCCCACAAATCAAGTTTTATATACATATTTTGTCTTGGAAACAAGAAAGGAAAAATTTTGCATTGCACACACATTGGAGAAAACTCAAGCATCATGTAATAAAATTAATTAAAGCTAAGAGCCTGTCCTAATGGTTTTATGCAATTGGTATAAGCCTAAGAAGCTGAAGAACAGAGGTTTAAAGATTGAAAGAAAAAGAGTGATAGGTCCTCTTATCCTAACTAGCTAGAAAGTCAGAAATATAGTCATACTTTCAGAGAAGAAATACTTTTTTCTCACCCCTCCTAGGTTCTGTGATTGAAGACCTGTGAATTAAACTGGCAAAAGATAGATTAGAAAAACAAATACGTGTAATTATATTTGAACGAAAATTCACAGAAAAATATATGACTCATAGGAATAGTTAGATTTGTGGTTTATATACCATCTTAATAGGGCAAGAGGTTGGAGAGAATGGTACTTAAGAGAAAACAAATGACTATTTGGGAAGATAAATAAGCCCTTAGGAGAACAGAGGGGAGATAAGATAGTTCTGTGGCAATGTAGGTTTCAGGTGGTGTAGAAACTTCTCATCTCCAGTAACAGTCAATCTTGCCTGGTTGCTTTTGGGAGGAAATTTATCATAATTGTGTTCTTTTCATTCTTCTGGAAGGCTCTGCTTTTGGGCAGATGAGAGATTTCAGGAACTCAAATGCCTTCTATTTGAAATCATTCTTTATTTTTATTTTGGCCGCAGTGGTGTATTCTGGACCCCTTCAATATGTAACTGGGTCCACTGATGTGCTTTCCTATCAATACAAAACTTAACAGGAAAATATCCAGTCAAAGGACTGGGTAGCAGTAGGAAAGGCCCCCAGCAGTTTAACATTGTCTTATAGGACATTTTCAGCATTATAACGTAATTCCAAAATGCTTGTGGTGGTGCCAAATCACACTACTTAGTGAGGCCAGAATATACTAGGAAAGGGACACAGAAATCATTCTTGAATGTTGAAAGAATAAAAAAAAGTGCATGCATGCATGAGCTATGTATGTATATACATATATACAATTTTATATATTTATATGAACATAGTAGATTCTACCTATAGTCAACCAGAAAACTACAACACACAATTACTCTAGACCATGAGATTTGCATTGCTACAATAACAAAATAATTATTACTAAGAAATAATTTACTATAATATTAAAGAACAAAAGTATTTGTCTATGTTGAGAATCAAAGATGCAATAAACTGTTAAATTTACTCTCCAAAGTTGTTAATTTTTTTAAAAAATCAGTTTTCAGTATTTAAATAAAAATTCCAGGAAGAATGTATTGTGTATGGCAAGATATATACTTTAAGGCAAGGACCAGGCTGTCTTTGAGGGAAAAAAAGTGCATTTTCTAGCATTAAAAATATACCACTAATTTTTAAAATATCTCCACGTAGAAATGTACAGTAGATGAGAGATCGCTAAAGAGATATTTAATTAAATCATTCCTAATGCAACATACAGAAATAACAAGATAGGAAATAAGAAAGAGAAGTTCAAAGAGAATTTTGTGAAAAAAAGAATTATACATCATACCGTGAATCTAAAAGGACTCCTTGAAGGGTATAATTTAGAGACAGTAGGATAGAGGCAACAATTGAGAATTTTATATTCTCATTTTTCTCATATTTCTAGAAATCAAGAGAATGAGTGACAGATGTGGAGAACTGGGTTCTTGCACCATCAAGGATTTTAGGACAGGTGTACAGTTCTCAAAGACGCTGAATTACTCACCTCCAGTTATGAACAACATTTTCTCTTTTCCCCAGTACGATAGATAATATTATACACCAGTGTGTGTCATCTACATGAAAAGTTTGGGAAACACTCTACTAGCCCATAGGTACTGACACGCAGAGCATAAATACCTGCTGTAGCTACCCAATTTCTAGTCACTAGTGATGATGCACCAGTGAACCAAATGAACCATACACCTTCCCACCCATGTGAAGCTTTTATTTTATTTGTGTGGAGAAAGGAAATTAAGCAAATAACCAATAAACATGTAAAAATTCAGGCGACCCTAAATGCTACTAAGACAAAAAAGATCACATGTGAAGAATGCATTTTCCTGTTGGGGCCACAGCGGTATCTCCCATCTGCACACTCTTCTAGAACCTTGCCACTCTCTCCTCAAGAGGAAAATTTGAATCCCTCTCTGTTGAGTTTAAGCTGGTCATATTACTTATATACAAGAAAATGTGATGATATTTGGTATCTAATCAGCATGGGCTGCTATAAGCAAATACCACAGGCTTGAGCAACACAAAGGTATTAGTCACAGATCACACATCTGGAGGCTGGGAAGTCCAAGTTTAAGGTGCCAGCAGATCCAGTGTCCGGTGAGGCCCCACTTCCTGGTTGGCAATTGTCCATCTTTTCCTTGTATCCTCACATGGCTGAGAGCAGGGTGTGAAAGCTCTCTGTAGCCTTGTTTTATAAGAGCACTAATCCCATTCTGGTGGGCTCCACCCTGATGGCTGAAAAACTTCCCAAAGGCCACTCCTCCTAAAATAATCACATTGGGGACAGGATTTCAATGCTTGAAAGTTTGGAGTGAGGACACAAATATTCAGTCCATAATGTGTGACTTCTAGTCTGAGTCAGTAGAAGATATGCAGCTTCTTCCTGGCTCTCTTAGAACACTGGTTCTCAGATTACTCCTTCTTGGAACACTGCCTCTCAGAACCTGCCATAATGCGTGGGAGCTCAAGACACAAGGAAAGTCCACACTCTTTCCAAGACTGTGTTCAACAGTCTCAGCTGAATGTAGCTTTGGGTCATCCAGTACAAATGCCAGATGTGAATGAAGGCTCTGGGAATTAGAGCTCAAACCTTTCAAACCATCTTAGCTGAGGCTCCAGACAGTGTGAAATCACAGGAATCTCTTTCTAATGTGCCGGTTCTAACTCTTGAACCACAGAGAAAAAAGGTTGATTATTTTGACTACATAACTAAAAAACACATACAGTTTAAATGAGACTTAAAGCAACAAAAATAAAATAAATAGTACCTGAAAAATATATAAAATGCAAATAATCTGCATTATTATATCTTGTTATATAAGAGTTTCCAAAATTTAATAAAGAAAAAGGAAAGCAACATCAAAATGTACATAAGGAAAAATTCATAGATGATGGAACTCACATACACAATACCTATATGAACATATAAAATTGTACTTAAGTATGGTATTTTACTCAAGATAAAGTTTAATTATAAAAAACAAAATCAAACACAAATGACAGAACAATTCACACTTAAGAGGGAGTCTTCGGCTGCATCTCTAACATTAATTTTTTCACATTATTACTAGTAAATATGAGAACTTATTTACAAAGTAACAGTTTTGAGTTTTGTATGTATTGGTGCTGCTCCATTACTCTATTTTGTTGTTGTTGTTTTGATACACTTAATATTTAATTAAAAGAAATTGTGTTGCTCTATCCCATGCCATTGAACTTTGATTAGAGATCTTTACAGTCAGTGAAATTAGAAAGAATGTGTTATACTAGCAGTAAAACACAGGTTTTTTTTTTCTCCAGCAATATTCAATACCAAATAACAATGAAGCGGCATCCAAAATTTTCTTAGGAAAAAATGTAGCTTAAATGTACGCTACCATAATACATTAAAAAAAACATAAAATAACAAAGAACACTCTGGAACATAAAAAAAGATGAAAGATTTCAAAATCACAGCACCTATGAGTCGGATATGATTTGAATATGTGTACCCTTTAAATCTCATGTTGAAATGTGGTGTCCAGTGTTGGAGGTGGGGCCTGGTGAGAGGCCCCATCAGCATTCACATGTTTACTGCAGCAGTATTTACAATAACATGTATGGAATTAACCTAAGTGGTTATCAATTGATAACTGGATTAAAAAAAAAGTGGTGTGTATAAGTGTTATATATATATGCGTGTGTGTGTGTGTGTGTATATACACACATAGTATGTGTATATATATATAGTATGTGTATATGTATATACACATACTATATATATACACATAGTATGTGTATATATATACACATACTATGTGTATATATATACATAGTATATATACACATTATATATACATAGTGTATATATATACACATTATATATACATAGTGTATATATATACACATTATATATACATAGTATATATATATATACACATTATATATACATAGTATATATACACATTATATATACACATAGTGTATATATATACACATTATATATACATAGTATATATATATACACATTATATATACATAGTATATATACACATTATATATACACATAGTATATATATACACATTATATATACACATAGTATATATATACACATTATATATACACATAGTATATATATACACATTATATATATACAAATTATATATATAAACATAGTATATATATACACATTATATATATACACATAGTATATATATACATAGTATATATGAGACTAAAAGCAACAAAAAATAAAAGTATATACTATGTATGTAGTATATATATACTATGTATGTACATATATATACACACACACAGTATATAAATACTGTGGGTATACAGAGTATATATACTGTGCATATATTTATATACACACACACACACACATATATATATACACACAAACACACAATGGAATACAACTCAGCTATAAAAAGGGATAAAATGGTGTCATTTGCAGCAGCATGGATGGAACTGGAGGCCATTATCTTAAGTAAAATAACTCAGAAATAAAATCCAATAAAATCAAATACTACATTTTCTCACTTATAAGTGGGAGCTAAATAGTATATACACATGGGCATAGAGCGTGGAATAATAGACACTGGAGAATTGGAAGTGGGGAAAGTGGGAGGAGACTGAGGGATGAGAAATTAAGATGAGTGTCTTAATGCGTACACTATGTGTGTGACAGCAACACTGAAAGTCCAGACTTCACCACTACACAATATATCCATGTCAGAAAACTGCACTTACACTTATAAATCTACAAAAATTAAAAATTTAAATAAATTTAAAATTTTTAAAATAGCATGGGATATTCTTTAGAATAGACTTTTTGGTAAGCCATAAAACAAACCTCAATAATTTTTAAAGAGTACAAATACCTCATGCTTTCATAAAGATAGTAATAATAATAACCTATCACAATAGTTAATTAGATTTTAAGTTATAAAATTTATTGTTATTTATAGCCAATGCAGGCTTTCTAAAATTTTAATCTATTAACTCAAACTCCACTTTTAGAGATGGAGATCAGGAAGCTCATGTCATCTTATAAAAATATTTAGCACAAGTGAAAATTGTGAGAAAAAACTTTATCAACTTGAAACTGGGAATGAAGACAACCACAGTGGAAACTGCAGATCATTAAATTGATTGCTGTTCAGTATAATAACCGAGTGTTCGTTAACCTGCTTTTCCCCAGTGAATATAGGCACACTTTATAAGAAATCAACTAATGTCTAGCATGTGTGATTTTTTTTTCCTTTTCTAAGATGAAACCATGCTACAAAACTTTAGAGCATATATCTGAGTTACATTCACTTCTTCATATCAATAAAATCATTACCCATGAAATAAACTGTTTTGGTGAGTGATAGAAACTGCTGGAGACCATCTTGCTCTATTAGGATTTCTAAAGCCACTTTGCATTCATATGAATCATGGCTAATGTAGAGGGTGAAGAGTCTGGGGAGAAAAATGTTAAAATCAGGAAATATGAAGTTTTGGTTGCCAAGGTTTGTGGGGAATAAGTAGTTGGGATTTGGGGATAGGTTATTTCACAAAATATTGATTGTGAACAAAACCCATGAACAAAAGAATATTATACTTGACTGAACATTGAGAAGGTAATTTTTAGTGAAAGAGAATAAGAATATCACTAGGGATCTTGTATCCTTTTAACTCCATAATGAGTATGTAGTATATACAGAGTTTAAAGAGGGGCTTTTGTAAAAAAAAAAAAAAAAAAAAAAAAATTAAAAGTGTAACATTTTCTATTCTCTTCCAGGAATGCAACTGGTAGGATCTTTCCACAAAGATCAAGAGTGCAAGGAAGCAGGAGGCTCAAATTGTCCACAGTCAGGTATAATGAAGTTGTGCAGAAAAAAACAAAAATCAACACTTATTTGAACACTGGACTTATATGATTTAAAAAGTTCAAGGTTGATTTTACTGCCAATAGTAAGGTTTGATGTGTGTTTTTCTATGTGTAGCCTACTCTCTTCCCTTCATACATTTGAATTAAAGCAACCTTCTCCTTCTGTCTTCAATGACCTCCCCCGACCCATTTCCTGTGAATTCATTTCAGTCGTCTTTTAAAACTTAGCTCAAGGCTCGTTACCCAACTTACAACAATTTTCTTAGAAATAAGTGCACATCTATTCTTCATGTAAATTTTGGTATTCACAGTAGTTACTGTATGCCTGTTACTACAATAGAAATTGGCCTGAAATAGAGATTAAGTTTCCATAGATAAAAAATTAATCAAGAGATTCTGAATATAATCTTTCTTGGCTGTCAATAGTTTCAAATGCCTGTAGTTCACATTTCCCATTCTTAAGAAGGTTGAGACAACCAAATTAATTTTAGTAGCTTCCAGGCTTCCCAGATGACAGGTATGTCCTTGCGTGTATGAAAGTAAGCTACCTGTACGGGCCTAAGAACTTTATGTGGAGGGAAAGAGAGTAAGCATGGTATGATGGCAGAAGTTGAAGCAACCACCAAGATGATTATTTACCTTTACCTTGAAAAGGAAATCTTAACTAGAAAATATGAATAGAACAATACTTTCTCATCTAACTTGTATTATAACAAGAATTCAAGAAATATAAAAAATTATTTGCATATCAGTCACTGAGCACTGTGGAAGAGCAACACAGCATGTGCTTATAGCAGTTTAAAGAGCTTAGCATGTCATGTGCATGCATAAGCCTGTAAAAATATCTGGTGGCAGTTCAATGACAGCTTCACAGCAAGTGAAATATTTCCAAATACATGAAGGTTGAGAAGGCTTCAGGAAGTATGATTTTTCAATTTCAAATGAACAGACTATGTGTGAATTGTAGCTGGTGAAACAAAATAAAAATATCTTTTCACAGACAAGTGACAATGTTTCAAATCACAGATTTGCAGGATGAATGAATATAATCCTGAAAGAGTTTTATAAAAAGAAAAAAAAAGGAAAGAATGATATATGAGGCAAGTTTTGTATGAAAATAAATAACTAACATCGGGGTAAATATTAAGGAAACTAACATTGTGACATTGTGTGTGTGCATGTGTGTGTGTGGGTGTGGGTGTGTGTGTTTGATGAGTATCTGATGTATTAGGATTTCAAAAAAAACAGGACTAATAGTATATATGTGTAATATTGTCTATGTATATACATGCAACAAAACACCCTCTAGACTGTAAACTAGTTCAACCATTGTGGAAGTCAGTGTGGCGATTCCTCAGGGATCTAGAACTAGAAATACCATTTGACCCAGCCATCCTATTACTGGGTATATACCCAATGGATTATAAATCAGGCTGCTATAAAGACACATGCACACATATGTTTATTGCAGCACTATTCACAATAGCAAAGACTTGGAACCAACCCAAATGTCCAACAATGATAGACTGGATTAAGAAAATGTGGCACATATACACCACGGAATACTATATAGCCATAAAAAAGGATGAGTTCATGTCCTTTGTAGGGACATGGATGAAGCTGGAAGCCATCATTCTCAACAAACTATCGCAAGGACAAAAAACCAAACACCACATGTTCTCACTCATAGGTGGGAATTGAACAATGAGAACACTTGGACACAGGAAGGGGAACATCACACACCGGGGCCTGTTGTGGGGTGGGGGGAGGGGGGAGGGATAGCATTAGGAGATATACGTAATGTTAAATGATGAATTAATGGGTGCAGGACACCAACATGGCACATGTATATATGTGTAACAAACCTGCACATTGTGCACATGTACCCTGAAACTTAAAGTATAATAAAAAATTAAAAAAAGAGTACATATAAAGTACAGAACAAAATATAGATGATTATGTGTATACATGTATATGCACTCATACAAAGAGGGAGAGTGAACAAAAATGATAAAACAAATAGGATGAAATGTCAGCAATCAATAAACCTGGGTAAAAAAAAAAAGTATGTATGAGACTTCCCTGTGAGTATAACAAATAAATGATAATAACAATGACAAATAAAGGTATTTACATAGCAATAATAAACAAAGGATACAAATAAGGATAATTATAGAAATAATTACAGATCAATCTCAGAGGAAGAAGGGAAGGCTCAGCTAAGAAACTGATACATAAGCTTAGGCTTAAATTAGAAGGCAGCCAGAAGTAAAATATATATGTATACTTTATATATTTATATACTTTATATATATAGTTTTATATACTTATATATAATTTACATGTGTATACACACATATATTTAAGTATTATATAAAAGTAAAAAACATATGCAAAATCCTGAAGGTGAGAAATAAAAGTAATTTGAGGAGACCAAAATGGTTACAGGTGCTAAAGTTGAGAGTGGAGGGTGACCAGGCAAGAAAGGCAAACCACAGAAGACCCACATAGGTCCATTCTCCATCGATTGAAGAAATCAGACTTTATTTGCTGGGGTTAAAGTGCTCTTGAAGTTTTCAACAAAGGAATTACTTGGAAATTATTTTAGTTCAGTATCTGGAGATAATTAAAAGTGGGCAAGTCTAGATTAACAAGACAATTTAAGAGATTGTTGCAGTAGTTTAAGTGTGAAATGTATCACTGATTTGAACAAGTATACTGGCAGTTGGAATGCAGAGAACGAAATATACTAAAAACAGAATTTGGTATAGAGGTCACAAGAAAAGAAGTGAGGCAGCTGGGCATGGTGGTTCACGCCTGTAATCCCAGCACTTTGAGAGGCCGAGGCGGGCAGATCACCTGAGGTCAGGGGTTTGAAACCAGCCTGACCAACATGGTGAAACCCCATCTCTACTAAAAATATAAAATTAGCCAGGCGTGGTGGTGCATGCCTGTAATCCCAACTACTCGGAAGTCACTTGAACCCAGGAGGCAGAGGTTGCAGTGAGCTGAGATTGAGCCATTGCACTCCAGCCCGGGCAACAAGAGTGAAATTCCACCTAAAAAAAAAAAAAAAGAAAAAAGAAAAAAGAAATGACGCAAAGATATAGTTAGATACAGTTATTGTGTTAGGGTTTCAGGTACTCTGTTAACTACAAAGGGTTAGAATCAAAAACACACATTAAATGTGATTTTTGGATGGCAGTCTGCAATTCTTCCCACCATAAACATCCAAACATGACCCTGTATGACTGACTAAAAATGAAATATTCAGGATACAACACTAATTCTCAGTTATATGACACCTGTCTAAGAACCAAGTTTCTGAGTCACATATTGGACCAGTTGGTCACTCAAAAATATTCTATTTCAGAAGTCTTTAATTGAAACACCTGACTCTGATCTCATGCTTCCGTTTTGTGAACTTGCTGACTCAGTTCTTCCCATCACATCTGTTCCTAAACTTTACTGAAAATTCCTAATCCAGACCTATTTATTTATTTATTGATGTTTTTCCATCTTCTCTTGATAGCATGGACTCTGGAGCTAAACTGCCTGGGTTTATAATAAAACTGGTCTCCACTTACATTGCGGAGCAAATGTGTTAACTTCTCTGCACACTGTGTGCACAGTTTTTTTTTTTTTTGATATGCAAACAAGGATCACATTTGCACCTACTTACAAGGGTCCTAAGGTCCTGGCATGACGGCACTATGCAACTGAGACCTGGATGGATGGATGGATGGATGGATGAACAGAGGCATGAATGGATGGACAGGTAGGTAGATAGGTAGGTAGGTAGGTAGGTAGGTAGATAGATAGATAATTGTATTCTGTATTACCCTTCTTCAAATCTTCATTAGCTTTTTAATCTTGCTCAGAATGAAATGGAAGCCTTTTATTGTGAATTACCTATCTCTATAAAATACAAGTTTAGGTCCCTAAACATTATGTGATTTAGTCTACTCTTTGAGTAACACTCTTGCAAAGCACTGATTTAAGTGAATTATGATTAGTCCCTATCCTTCAGTAGATCACAACTCCTTTGATGAACTCAAACTACATTTTTACCTCAGAATCTGTAGAATCTCACATTTTCCTGGACAGATAGGTAATTAATAACTGTTTATTGCATAGATATGTTGCAAATTTACAGCTAAATCCATCCTCCATAGGCTAATCTTTATCTAGCTGACTAGTCCCAAGTAATTGCTGCATATGTTGTAATGGCTAAGCCTTTTAAGAATGCTTGGCATCTCGGTATGTCTCAGGATTAAACTTAATAATGTCAAGAGAACTTCCACAGTGGCTTATGTGTATGTGTCAATCTTCTCCATTAGATTGCAAATCCCTATATTGAAGAAACTGTATTTGATTCACTTCTCTATGCTTCACAGCATCTCAGCACAGTACCTTGCATTTAATCAGCCCTCAATACAAATTGTGTTAAACTGAGTTATACCTTCCTTCAAAATCCAGCTCAGATGTCACATCTAGACAAGACTTCCCTGAGTCTCTCATGCAGAACCAATCATTGCCTATGCTGTAGTAAGGATTGACTTTGACTGTTAGAAGGATTAATCTGCCCTTTAAATATGAAAATTTCTCACCTACACACAGAGTGGATATGGGACTAAACAGAACAAACTATAGTTCTCTTCTCCTGGGCATAGGGATACATTGATTTGTCCAGAACAGGCATTTTACCAAAGCCAGGTCTCTTGGAGACATTTGCAAGAAGGCAAAAACAAAAATAAACAATAAAAAATTCAATAATTCAATACACAAATTGCAAGAGACAGAAACAGTATTCGATTCCCTAATGTTTCTGTTTCTTGCAATTGTGCCTTTATTTCTGTTCACTGTTCAGAATAAATTAAATTTATTCAAATGTAGCTTTTGTAACTTGCAACCAATAAATTATAGAACAGTGCACTTTGTCTTATTGATAAACCAATAGTGTTGTCTATCTTTCCTTTCTTCTTTTTCCTGCCATCTCCCCTGTTTTCCTCCTTCCTTCCCTCCCTCCAAACTGGTTTTCCTGTCTTCATCCACCAATCTCTTTTTTTCTTAGTTACCCCTTTTGTGTGCTTCATCTTTCTTGAAATGTTAACAAAATAAAATTTGTTCCTATTTATTCTACCTCAAAATAATTTCCCCAAACTACTCATATACGTCTCTCTCCAATTCTTCCATTCTGGATGAAAGGAAATCCTGAGTTAGAGAGATGGATAGATGGATGGATGGATGGATGGATGGATGGATGGATGGATAGCAAGACAGATGAATGGATGGATGAGTGGACAGATAGGTAGTTGATAGATAGATAGATAGATAGATAGATAGATAGATAGATAGATAATTGTGTTCTGCATCACTCTTTTTAAAATCTTCATTAGATTTTTAATATTGCTCAGAATGAAATTGAACCCTTTTATTGTGAAGTACCTATCTCTATAACATAAAGGGTTAGTTCCTGCCTAACTTTCAAATCTCATCTACTTTCTGCCACCCTTTGTTTAAAGTGATTCAAGCACACTGGTCTTCTCTTGTCCCATAAGCCCACCAAGTTCTCCTCTGCCATGAAAATTGTCACTCTTTTTGATATGGTTTGGCTGTGTCCCTACCCAAATCTTGTCTTGAACTGTAGTTCTCATAATCCCCACATGTCATGGGAGGAACCCAATGGGAAGCAATTGAATCGTGGGGGTGGTTACTGCCATGCTGTTCTCGTGGTAGTGAGTGAGTTCTCATGACATCTGATAGCTTTTTAAGGGGCTCTCCACCCGGCCACCTTCACTCTGCACTTCTCCTTTCTGCCACCATGTGAAGAGGGACATGTGTGCTTCCTCTTCCACCATGATTGAAAGTTTTCTGAGGCC